>NC_000022.11:30982291-31133806 GCF_000001405.40 Homo sapiens
GTTCATGTTGAAGAATGCATGTCCACATAGTGTACGTTTGCCTACCCAGTGTTATCTTTTTCCCCTCTGAGAATAGCACTTCACCTTTCCTTTGGGAAACTACCCATTTCCCATGCCATGTGAGCCCAGAGGATAATGTGTAAGAGGTATATGAGTTTCTGAGAGGAATGTGAGAGGTCTTCACCTGCCCAGATTCCTGACTTAATCTTTAAGTCTTCTTGCCCTGTAGACTCTGAAAAATCTCATCCATTTCCATGGCCTTGGTTTCTAACTGTATATTGATAATTTCCAGATTCCTACCTTTGGCCTTGATATGTGTCTTGAGCTCCAGATCTGAATGCCCACCTGTACCTTGATATCCACTGCTTGATTAACACAAAGATACTCTCACCCAACATAATAAACGCTGACCTCTTCATTTTTTCCTTAAAATCTGCTCTCCAGTGTTCCCTTTGTTGGTAAATGGCACCACCCTCTACTCTGTTTCTCAAACCAGAACATGAGAGTTATTCTCGAAGCTTCCCTCTCTCCCAGAGTCCCTGTTAGTCATTAAATGATCTTGGTGTTAGCATGTAAATATATACCTTAAAACTATCTCCACTTCTATCACTTTGTCCAAGGGAACATATATCTGTTGCTGTAAGTACTATAATGCCTTTCTAGTGGTTTCACTGCCTCTATTATTGTCCCACTGCAGTCTTCTCTACAGGACAGCTAGAGTAGCCCCCCAAGAGATAGGGTATCCCTGTTGCCCAGGCTGGAATGCAGTGTCAATCATAGTTTACTGCAGCCTCAAACTCTTGGCCTCAAGCATCCCTCCTGCCTCAGCCTCATGAGTAGCTGGGACTGCAGGCACGTACCACCATGCCTGGCTGGCCATTTATTTATTTATTTATTTTGTAGATACACTATCTCGCTATGTTGCCCAGGCTGGTCTTGAACTCCTGGCTTCAAGCAATCCTCCCACTTTGGCCTCCCAAACCACTAGGATTACAGGTGTGAGCCACTATGCCCAGCCTACTTAACCTTTTAATAGTTCCCCCGGCATTTCAGAATAAAATCTAAACTCTCCTGGTTTACAAGGCTCTTCAGCTTCTCATTATCTTATTCCTCAAGCTTCATCTTTTGCCACTTCAAACAGGAACAACTCAATTTTGTATATTGGAATTTCCTGTATTATTATTATTTCATTTGAAAAAAAAGTTTCCACTTTTTTTTTTTTTTTTTTTTGAACTGAAGTCTTGCTCTGTTGCCAGACAGGAGTGCAATGGCACTACCTCGGCTCACTGCAATCTTTGCCTCCCAGGTTCAAGCAATTCTCCTGCCTCAGCCTCCCGAGTAGCTGGGACTACAACTGCGTACCACCATGCCCAGCTAATTTTTTGTATCTTAGTAGAAACGGGGTTTCACCATGTTGACCAGAATGGTCTCAATCTCCTGACCTCGTGATCCATCCCCCTCGGCCTCCCAAAGTGCTGGGATTACAGGTGTGAGCCACAGTGCCTGGCTGGGTTCCACATTTTTTAAAGCAGTGGAGATGCAAGAATTCATTAAAAGAAAGACAAAATTGAAATGATTATTCAGAACAACCCAAAAGCCTATTGCTATGAATACTGTAATTTATTTTCTTCCATATTTCTTTCCATGAAATTTTTAAAAATCTAGTATTTGTAACTGATACAGAGAGCTACAGTAAGGTGCCTAGAGAGCAACCAAATCCCTACCTCACAACATTTACAAAGATAAATACCAAAAGGACTACAGATTTAAATCTTAAAATGAAACACTAGAAGAATATTTAGGAGACTATTTTTGTGATCTTATGACATGGGAGATTTTCATAAACAAAGCAGAAAACCTACAAGCCATAAAGGAAATTACAGACATATAAGACTACATGAAACAAATCTTGGTTCTGTAAAAGATGTGATAGATTGGAGAGATATTTCCAACATAAATGACAGATCCAGGACTAATGTTGCTAATACAGAGAGTTCCTACAAATTTATAAGTAAAGTAATAATCACTAGCCATTTATTTGGTGTTTGTTTCATACTTGGCATTGTTTCAGGCACTTTACAAGTGTTATTTAATTGTCACAGTTTATGAGATAGGCAATATTATTCCTGTTTTACAGCTACGGAAACAGGCTCAGAAGGATAAAATAACTTGCCCATGTCACACAATAGGTGATAGAGCTATGACTCAAACACAGGTTGTCTGTTAGTCTGTACTTTGAACCATGATGCTCTTCAACATTTCCGTAAGCATATGAAAGATAATGAGGTCAGTGAGATGTGATGTACAACAGAGCAATGAAGTACCATTTGCCACCTATCAGATGGCAGAATTTAAAAGAGCAGTAACATATAGTGCTGGCAAGAATTAGGGTAACAAAACTTTTATACATTGTTGGTGGGCATGTAGATTGTTCCAATTTTTTTAGATGATGATCTGGCAATACTGATGCAAATTTTTAAATATACACTTTTGGACCCAGCATTCCTACTTTAAAGACTCTCAAAGAACTAAAAGCACCAAGATAAAAGGACATCAGTATGAGAAATTTACTGCAACGTAACCTGTGCTAGCAAAAAAATTTAAAAAGCAATCGATCAAAGTGGAGTGGTTGAATCAGTTATAGGACAGCTATACTGTGGAGTGTTATGCAACTGTTAGAAAGAAGACCTCTATTTCTTAGCCTGTGGCATGTCCATGATGCATTAAGCAAAACAAACAAAAATTACAGAGTAATGTATATCATAATAGCCCATTGTATGGGGTGCAGGGCTGGAAGCCCTACAAATGTATCTAAATGAACATGAAAGAAAAGTGGAAGGATACACCAAATTGAGGGGTTTGGAGAAACTTGGTGCTTTATACATACTGGCATTGTTTCACTGGTTGTGGGAGCACATCCTTTTTTTTTTTTTTAAGAGACAGTTTATTTCTAAGGGAAATAATTAAATTTTTATTTATTTTTATTTTTTTTTTTTTTGAGATGGAGTCTCGCTCTGTCGCCCAGGCTGGAGTGCAGTGGCGCAATCTTGGCTCACTGCAACCTCCACCTCCCGAGTTCAAGCAATTCTCCTGCCTCAGTGTCCTAGGTAGCTGGGATTACAGGCACATGCCACCACGCCCAGCTGATTTTTTTTTTTTTCTTTTTTTTTTAGTAGAGACAGGATTTCACCATGTTGGCCAGGCTGGTCTCGAACTGCATACTTCAAATGATCCACCCTCCTCGGCCTCCCAAAGTGCTAGGATTACAGGTGTGAGCCATAAATATAATTTTTAAAGCAATTAAATTGTACCTAGACTTTTTCAAGTTAGCATATGCTAAGGGATCAAAAAAGAGGGCAACAAAGAGTAACAGTTGGTTAACTCTTTTATATCCAGGGTTGCCTTTTGTAGATGCATGGGTTCCAGGTGACTGGCCCTCAGCCTTTGAATAGGCCACTCCCTACGACAGAGAAAGGGTTGTCCACTAGGGTGCCACTTCTAACAAAGATGTGTTGTCTCCCTGTATTTGTTCTTCCCAGAGTAAACACATTTTTCAGTTTCCCTGGCAGGTGTAACCCACTAACTAAATTTTAGCCAGTGGGACCTGAGTAACTTATAGGACTTATCCTTAAAAAGGAGTGAGCCCATCTCCTTCCTTCACCCTCCTGACTAGAATGTAGGCTTCACCCCGCTGACTAGAATTCCATGACTGGAATTTGTCACTGTTGGACCATAAAGGAGAAGGCACTCTGTGCCAGTGACGATGGAGCAACAAGTTAGAAGGAGCCTAGATTCCTGATGAATGTGAAGCCACCTTACCAGGCCTGAACTGCTTATCTCTGGACCTCGTTTACAAAACTAATTTCTGTCTTCTTGACATCATTAGTATATGAGGTTTTTCTCTGCCTCACAACTGAACGTAGTCTGCCCATAAATATTTTGCTGGAAATATTTCTTAGGAACATCTGATTCCATCCGTTCTGATTTTATACTACTGAATCAACCTGCCCCTAGCTGGACTCACTAAGAGTAGATGACTGGTTGGGTCATGAACCAGCCACATATCTTTAATCATAAATTAATAGGGCTGTGCACAGTGGCTCACGCCTGTAATCCCAGCACTTTGGAAGGCCGAGGCGGGCAGATCACTTTAGGTCAGGACATCTAGACCAGCCTGGCCAACATGGTAAAATCCGTCTCTACTAAAAATACAAAAATTAAGCCAGGCGTGGTGGGTGCCTGTAATCCCAGCCACTCAGGAGGCGGAGGTTGCAGTGAGCTGAGAGCTGAGAGCGCACCATTGCACTCCAACCTGGGGAACAAGAGTGAGATCCGTCTCAAGAAAAAAATCATAAATTAATAAATTGGTCTCTTTATTAGTTCAGTGGCCCTCCTTTATGCTCTCAGAGTCTCACTGTTATGGACATCCATTGCTTTTGTCTACTCAGTATCTATCTTCACTTCTTTTGATAAGAGAATATTAGTTGCGCTCTGAGTTTCCAACCCTCCTTCACTTTCTGTCTGTTCACTACCCCTGGCTCCAGGACTGAGCATGTAACTCGGACCGACCAGAGCACTGCAGCGCCTTGGTCAGGGTAGTTGGATATGGAGTGAGTTTATTATCTAAGCCAAGCCAGTTTTACACAAATAGAGCTAATGGAGGTGGGGGAATTTCCTTTTTAATCTATTGAATTTAGAACTGTAAGGTTGCAAGACTGGCATTATTGGCAGCCCTCTTGCCACCACAAGGAGGTTGCTCATCTGAGAATGAGGCTGGTCTTGAACTCCTGACCTCAGGTGATTTGCCTGCCTCGGCTTCCCAAAGTGCTGGGATTACAGGAGTGAGCCACTGCATCCGGCCTAATTCTGCTGTTTCTGTTCCACTTCTGTTGACTCAGGAGAATGGCAAAGATGAGCCCAGGAGTCCTTAAGATTCTCAGTGTTCCACTCTTGATGTAATTGTTGATCTAGCTTCAGCCCATTTCCCTGACCTAATGACTGGGTCTTATTTCGGCTACTTTAAGACATGGAGACCTACTGGTTTGGGATGGCAACCTGGGATAAAACTGTGAGGGCTTCTGGGATATTCTAATTGTTTGGAATTACACCTAAGCAGAAAAATACCTTTTATTATTGTTGGTGTAAAGGACCAGGACTCTGACTGAAACAAACCTACGGTTTTTTTTTTTTAATAACAAGTAGCAATTGAGGGTATGGGACCTTGATCTGATGCAGTCAGTGCAGTGGTAAGCCATTTATCCCTGTGGAGTGTGCCCAGGCTCCCAGGACTGTTCACCTGCTCTGATAGAGATGACAGAGGTCATGTTTCATTTTTTCTTTTTTAATTTTTTGAGATGGAGTCTCACTCTGTCATCCAGGCTGGAGTGTAGTGGTGCAATCTCGGCTCACTGCAACCTCCGTCCCCTGGGTTCAGGCAATTCTCCTACCTCAGCCTCCCGAGTAGCTAGGATTACAGGCGTGCACCACCACACCTGGCTAATTTTTGTATTTTTAGTGGAGACAGGATTTCACTATATTGGCCAGAATGGTCTCAAATTCATGGCCTCAAGTGATCTGCCCAAGAAAGGCCATATTTCTATGAATGAGAATTGGACCTTCTTAATCCAGGCCTCCTACCACATTTGCTAACTGGCCAACTGGCATGAGTGGCATCCAAGGACCTCAGCCCATGAGAGAAAGGGAATGTGACATGTTTTTCTGTCGACAGCATTTCTGAGGGTGGTGGGGTAAATAAGAAATTGCTTTTCCTTATAAAACAAATTGAATGTGATAGCATGTGCATGTCATTGACACCAGCAGTTGTGCTGTGGTTAAAAATGGCAAGGGAATGGCTGGCTGAGCTAAGTCTTCCAGGATATTGTTGCCTTAACAGCATTATTGCTAACAATTGCCATTTGCTCAGGCAACATGGTGAAACCCCATCTCTACAAAAATATAAAAATTAGCTGGGCATGTTGGTGGGTGCCTGTAATCCCAGCTACTCGGGAGGCTGAGGCAGGAGAATCACTTAAACCCGGGAGGTGGAGATTGTACTGAGCCAAGATCGTGCCATTGCACTGCAGCCTGGGTGATAGAGCGACACTCCATCTCAAAAAAAAAGAGCAGAATCACGTTTGCCTGATTCAACACTTGGCCTCTTTGGACAAGAGTCTGATTTCTCAAGTTCAGATGATGCCTGGAACTCTTTGGAGTTGGAGAGAAGATGGTTTGGCCAGAGAAGATCAGAGGCTGTTTTAGGTCTTCTAGGATTCAGGAGACATACATAGAACATGGCTTCCATGGAGGTGGCGAGACAGGAGAACCAACGAACTCAGGCTCCAGTCATAAATATTTACTGGTATGCTCATAACACAACAATGATGGTCCTCAAAATGACATTCAACTTGCGTCCTATCCTAAGAACAAACACCTGGAGTGCACTATGAACTGATGTTTTAAATCTCTGTTTGCCTTGTGACCAGCACAATTATACTGCAGTATATTCTGTGTGTATTTTACAATATTCATTTTCCAATGTAATCACTTAAGTTATACCACAAATTTTGGAAAGTGTATGACAAATCAAGAATGAAATCAGAGTTCAGAGCAACACGTAAACATGCACATGCACACATGAGACAGCCCTGGAAACCAGCCCCAAAGACAGGACCTAGAAGAGGTCTTGATGAAAGGCAGCCTGTAGTAGAACAGGCTTCGTTGCAGGTCCTACAGAAGAACGGGGTTGAGTTATGCAGCTTCTCCCATCCCTTTCTGGCCCAAAGCAAGCCCCAACCCCAACCACTTTGAGATGCTACATTATGTTTAACTATGGGAAAACTCACAGTGATCAAAAATGAATGTGGAAAAGTTTCAAGAAACCTCGAGTCTATAATAGCAAGTATCCTTGGCTTTGGCCGAAAAGCAAATTGATACCAAGTTGTTCTTAGCACTTCGCCAAATGGATTGCTGTTTCCTTGTGCCTGGAGCACCCAAAAAGGGAATGAGGGCTGAGGCTGCTGTGTTTATAGCTCTTCGCCAAGATACCTCTCCCAGTACCCTCTTTTAAGGCAAAGAACCCTGCTCCAATAGCATTGTGTCCTGACAGCCCTGTGGACCCCTTTGATGATAACCACATACTCTTGCTTCACCTCTGTGCTTGTCCTTAGGACCTAACAGCCTAAGAAGGAGAGGCAGAACCTGCTTATTCCCTTCTTTCCTTGCCTCTCTCATTTCCTGGTCTTTCTTCCACTTGGAAAATTTGAGTCAGATTTCCATGTGTCTTCCACCTAGGCCTTACAGGAAACCACTTCCTTTTATACATCTTTGGGTGCCCTATGTGGAGGGGATCCTCACACACTCTCCCTGGCTCTGACTCCTTCCCCTTCCCCTAAACCTATAGTGTCCATATTCTACCCCTGCCTTGTGAAATTTCATAAGGAGGAAGTTGCTCAACATCTATCAAGACTCATAGAAGATAAAGGGCTGTAAGAAATTTGGAAACTTCACATTCAGATTGCTGCTAAGAACTCAGATCAAGATGTGGTATACAGGACATATACATAAATTGTTGGGTTTAGTGCAAAATGAAAATGCGGGGTCCCT
Organism: Homo sapiens; assembly: GCF_000001405.40. Classification (NCBI taxonomy): domain Eukaryota; kingdom Metazoa; phylum Chordata; class Mammalia; order Primates; family Hominidae; genus Homo; species Homo sapiens. The sequence continues at coordinate 30,989,894 of NC_000022.11, forward strand.
TGTTCAAAAATCATTAAGAATTTCAAGAAGGTGACAATAGAGCACAAAACAAATGTGAGGCCCTTCTGGGAGCAGGGCCCTTTTAAGTATGGAGGCTTGTGTGACTCCGCAGGTTGCATGCCCAGTAATCTAGCCCTGATGGTATATTTTGCTCAAATATCCTTTGGTTAAGCATCTAAAACACACCCATACCACCCCGTCTCCCAATTCTGGACAGCATTCTGTAACATTATTACAATACATGTTAATAACTGATTAGGGCTGGGAATGGAACTAAGATCTCTGCTTTTATCCACTGTATGAGGATCCCCTCCATATAAATGATCTTCTACGCAGGCTTCTACCAAAACCTCATTCTCTGAGCCATATATCTTCTTCAACCTGGAAAACAATGGACCCATGATGGTGGATGAATAAGAACAGAGGCTTTTTAGCCACTCAACTAGGAGATGTTGATAACAGAATAGTAGCTTTCTTTTATCAAACCCTTAGCATGTGCCAGACACAACTCTGCAATTTACACACGTCATCTCATTTGACATGTTTCAGGTATGAATTTTATTCCATAGCCCTAGCGCAAGAAGTTTCCCATACCTTTATAGGTTATTTCATGCCGCCCTGAGTCTACTTGCTCACACCGCCCTACCCCCAGCCATGACTCTGTGATGACAAAAATCTAAGGCACCTCCCATGGTGGTCACCACATGGAAAAAAAGCACCTCCTTCACCTGCTATTAGACATCATGCCCAGGACGCTTCCTTCTGGTGTCCAGAGACACTGGCTCTTCCTTCAGTCCAGTCCCCCAACTGACTTCAGATATACACCTGGACACTCACCTTCTCCAGCTGTAAGGACAAGCAAGAATTAGGTCTCCTCCATGTTTTGAACATCCTCAAATCCTGTCCCCTTCTTATTTCAAATCTTTGCATGGCCCTGAAACACCGAATACTAAGGACATCTCCAGATGGGGTATGAGACAGCAATATCATCAGCCTCCTTTTGCTGGGGCTGGGCTGGAGATAAGAGCTGCTTACACCAGAGAGTGTTTTATATTTTCCTTTAATAACTTGCCAGGCAACATCAGATGAAGAAACTTTGGCTGAAAGAAGCCATTAATCTAAGGTTCTATAGCTAGGAAGTGGCAGGGCCAGGATTTGAAGCTGCCTGATCTATTCCCCAGATGTAGGCCACCTGCCACCATCATTGAGATCACCTTCAGAGAGTTCATTCAGAACTTCGCAAGCCTCACACTGGCCTACAGAATGAAAACCTCTGAGGAGAACCTTAGCTTCTGGAATTTCTATCTGGAATTCCAGCCAACCTCACAATATTAAGTGGCAGACAGGCTTAAAGGTGTTCTTACCCCCACCACTCTCCAATGATCCATGCTTCCTGGTGTTCACATCTATCTTAGTCATCTCAGGCTGCCATAACAAAATACCACAGACTGAGTGGTTTAAACAACAGAAATTAATTTCTCACACTTCTGGAGGCTGGAAATCTGAGATTAGGGTGATCAGCTGCCTTGGTTTCTGAGGGCTCTCTTTCTGGCTTATATATGGTTGCCTTCTCAATATGTCCTCATATGGCTTTACTTGGTGCATGCACATAGAGAAAGAGCTCTTCTTACAAGGTCACTAATCCTATCAGATCAGGGCCTCACCCTTGTGACCTCATTTAATATTACATCCTTAGAGGCTCATCTTCAAATATAGTCACACTGTGGGGGTGAGGGTTAGGGCTTCAATGTGAATTTTACTGAAATATTCAGTCCATAACAGTACCTTTGTGTCATCCCTTCCCTTTCAATTGACTTCCCCTTAAGGTGGGTTTTATGATTTCCTTTTAGAAAATGTTGTCTTGGCTGGGCATGGTGGCTCACGCCTGTAATCCCAGCACTTTGGGAGGCCAAGGCAGATGGATCACTTGAGGTCAGGAGTTCGAGACCAGCCTGGCCAACATGGTGAAACACTGTGTCTACTAAAATACAAAAAAAAAAAAAAATCAGCTGGGCATGGTGGTGTGTGCCAGTAGTCCCAGTTACTCAGGAGGCTGAGCCAGGAGAATTACTTGAACCCAGGAGGTGGAGGTTACAGTGATCCCAAGATCATGCCACTGCACTCCAGCCTGGCCTGGGTGGCAGAACAAGACCCTGCTTAAAAAAAAAAAAAAAAAAAAAAATAGTGTCTTGCTCTAGAAGCTCTCCTTGCTGGTTTGTTAAAGAAAGTGGACATGTTGGGAAATCCCAAATGGCAAGAAACTGTGGGTATAGATCTGAGGGTGGCTTCCAAGCAAAGGACAGCAAGAAGCTGGGGCCCTCTGTCCCACAGCTCCAAGGAACTGAATTCTGCCAACAACTTGAGTGTGCTTGGAAGTGGATTCTTCCCCATTCAAACATCCAGATGAGAACACAGCCCACCCAACATCTTGACTGTAGCCTTGTGGGTCCCTGAGCAGAGGACTCGGCTAAGCCATGCCTGGACTCCCAGCCCACAGAAACTGTGAGATAATGTGTGTTGTTTTAAGCCACTAAGTTTGTGGTAATTTGTTGTATAGCAAGGGAAAACCAATAAATTAGAAAACCCCACAGTCTTCACCCACAAGGCTGCATGGATGATTCCTCTCTTTTTTACTTCTACCCAGAAGCAACTTGTGTACTTACTGAGCATGACAAAGGGCATGTGCCAAAAGGCCTGCTTTTAAACTTTTTTAATTTCTTGATTATCAAAAGTAATAGATGTTCATTGTAGAAAATCTGGAAGCACACAAAAAGAAAATAAAAATTACCCAGAATAATTTCCTCCTGCCAACTCAGATAACCACAGATAACACATTGGCAAGTAGCCTTCACCACCTTGGTTCTATACAGGGAGGCTGGATAAAGTTACAAACAGAGAATGTTCTGTACGGACCGTTTTGTGACTTGCTCTTTCCAGTGTCAGCCCACATTTTCTGAAGAATTTGAAGCATCAGAGGGGTGAATTTGTTTCCAGCATTTTGGGCCATTGCCAGATTCCATTTTTAATGACCTCAGGTTTTTCCCAGAGTGGGCTTTGGCAAAGGAGACTCATTAAAAGGAAACTGAGGCCAGAGAGGGGAGGACATGCCAAAGGCCAGATAGCCTGTTGGCACCCAGAGAGTTCCCTCCTTCCAAATTCCTCATAACATCGTAGCTTAGCTGCTGTATTCCCAAAACCCACACAGTGCCCCAGAGCTTTACCCTTGGAATTATTATCAGAGATAAGTTCCTTAAAGCCACAGCCTCATCTCCAATCAAGGGAGTTCCTTGGAGGGACTTGGAATAGGAAGAAGCTAGAACCCTCTGAGATCTGGCCATCCACCACCCATGAGGCCCAATTCTTCCCTGGTCCCCTGAGCAACTGAAAATCAGCTCCTAGAGTATCATTTCAGAACTTTGAGCATTTGGGCTTCTTTTATTTTATTTTATTTTGTTTTATTTATTTATTTTTTGAGACAGGATCTCACTCTGTCGCTCAGGCTGGAGTGCAGTGGCGTGATCTCAGCTCATTGCAACCTCCACCTCCCAGGTTTCAGTGATCCTCCAACTTCAGCAACCCTAGTAACTGCCACCACACCCAGCTGATTTTTTTTATCCTTTGTAGAGACAGGGTTTTGCCATGTTGCTCAGGCTGGTCTCGAACTCATGGACTCAAGGGATCCACCAGCTTTGGCCTCCCAAAGTGCTGGAATTACAGACATGACCCACTGCGCCCAGCCTTTTCCTTTTAAATGTGAGTGGGAAGATAGTAAGGAAAGAGAAGGAAGGAAGAAGGAAGGCAGGAGTCATTTTATTCAATAAACTTTCATCAAGCCTCTGGAAGACCAGTCCTCTGTGCTAAGTACTGGAGCTATTGCGACGAGGTAGCATGAGGTCACTTTATTTGCTTATTTATTTATTTTTTGAGACAGGGTCTCACTCTGTTATCCAGGCTGGAGTGCAATGGCACGATCTTTGCTCACTGCAACCTCTGCCTTCTAGGTTCAAGCGATTCTCCTGCCTCAGCCTCCCGAGTAGCTGGGATTACAGGCATCTACCACCATGCCCAGCTAATTTTTGTAATTTTAGTGGAGACGGAGTTTCACTTTGTTGGCCAGGCTGATCTCAAACTCCTGACCTCAAGTGATCCGCCCACCTCAGGCTCCCAAAGTGCTGGGATTGTGGCCGAGGTCACTTTCAATACTTAGTTTAACATTTGTAAACTATGATTGTTCCAGTTGTTTGTTGCTGTATCACAAACCACCCCAAAAAGCTTAGTATCATAAAACAACAAGCATTTTATATACTTATGATTCTGTGGGTCAGGAATTGGGCAGGACACAGTATGGATGGTTCATCTCTGTTCTTAGATATCTAAGACATCAGCTGCAGTGCAGTGCAGTGCAGTGCAGTGATGATGGCTGAAGATGGCTGGGACAGCTCAACTGGGGCCATGAGCTTGGGGCCTCAGTTCTTCTCCGTGATGCGTCTTCTGGGGTGGTGTATAAGTTAGGATTCTCCAGAGGGACAGATGTATATAAAAGGGGATAGGATAGGATAGATGTATATAAAAGGGGAGTTTATTAAGGAGTATTGACTCACACAATCACAAGGTGAAGTCCCATAATAGGCCATCTGCAAGCTGAGAAGCAAGGAAGCCAGTCGGAGTCCCAAAACCTCAAAAGTAGAGAAGCCGACAGTGCAGCCCCCAATCTGCATCTGAAGACCTGAGAGCCCCTGGCAAACCACTGGTGTAAGTCCAAGAGTCCAAAAGCTGAAGAACTTGGAGTTCAAGGGCAGGAAGCCTCCAGCACCAGAGAGATGAAGGCTGGAAGACTCAGCAAGTCAAGTCCTTCCACTTCTTCTGCCTGCTTTATTCTAGCTGCACTGGCAGCTGCTGGGTGCCCACCCAGATTGAGGGTGGGTCTGCCTCTCCCAGTCCACTGATTCAAATGTTAACATCCTTTGGCCACACTCTCAGACACATCCAGGAACAATACGTTGCATCCTTCAATCTAATCAAGTTGACACTCAATATTAACCCATCACAGGCAGGAAATGTTCAAGATGGCTCCTTCACTTCCATGTGTGGTATCTGGGCTGGGAAGTTGGGTAGCTGTGGGCAAGGTGATGCTGCCTTTTCACATGGCTAGCTTGGACTTCATCTTAGCATGGCAATCTCAGGTAGTTAGACTTCTACATGGCAGCTGGCTTCTCCCAAAGCAAACATTCCACAAAAGAGGAAGTGGAAATTGTCACCCCTCTTAAAGGCAACCCAGAGGTAAGCCACAGTACCTTTTTAGGACCTGCTCTTCGAAGTCACACACCATTACTTCTGCTTGATTCTGTTCACTAGAAGTAGGCCACTAAGTCTACCCATACTTGAGGGAAGGAGAATTAAGCTCCAGCTGTTGAAGAGTATCAAAGAACTTGTGGACATAGATTTTTCAAAAGTACCACCACAACCACACAGTCCACTTCACATTGAGTAGTGGACCCCCCTTTTCTTTCTCTCTTCAATCCTCTGCTCTCTCAGAACCAGTACAAATTCCTCCTCTTGTCTCATAATGAGCAGTGTAACCATTTCCTTTTCCTCCAGGTCTCTCTGAAACACTCCTGCCCTTATCTTCTACCCACATGAGCTTATCAGTGTATTTTTTTCATCCCATAGATAATCTTTTCCCTTCGACGAATTTTGGTGCCAGTTATTAACATAATGAAATTTCTATTTGTTGTATGAACTTTTGTATAGAGAAAATTATGTTGAAAGAAAATTCCATATCCTAATCAAGCAAATGTGGAGGCAAAAGGAGACATTTGAAGACAAGCAGGGATTCTGAAACTTTCCCTCCCATGCACTCTCTGAAAAAAAAAAATTACTTGAGGATGTGCTCCAACACATTAATAAAGGAATCAAGGAAAAAGATTTGGGAAGCAAGAAACAGTGGAACTAAAGTAGGAGAGAGTTGGGAAAAAATCCTAACTTGATAGCTATGCAGCAGACCTAAAATACAATCTGTCAAAACTAGAACTGGAAGTAAGAGGTCTCAGGGATGAAAACTTCAAGAAGGCCAGGTGTGGTGGCTCACACCTGTAATCCCAGCACTTTGGGAGGCCAAGGCAGGCGGATAACGAGGTCACGAGTTCGAGACCAGTCTGACCAACATGGTGAAAGCCCGTCTCTGCTAAAAATACAAAAATTAGCCGAGCGTGGTGGCACGCACCTGTAATCCCAGCTACTCAGGAGGCTGAGGCAGGAGAATCGCTTGAACCCAGGAGGCGGAGGTTGCAATGAGCCGAAATCGTGCCACTGCACTCCAGCCTGGGTGACAGAGCGAGACTCTGTCTCAAACAAAAAAAAAAAAACTTCAAGAAGGAAATAGATGCTTCATTTCCTGTGGGGGAGAACAAAACAAACAACAAAAACAAAACAAAAAAAAACACAGAAAAGAAAATAGATGCCATTGCACAAATTGAATAAGTAAAAATCTAGAAGTTCTTAAAGATGATATCCAGACAAAGGCTCTTTCACTACCAGAAAAGGAGAGTGCATTTAGAAGCTTTGCGGGGACAAAAGCTATGCTAGAACAATCATGGTCAAGCTAAAATGCATATGGTTTGGGAAAACTGGTGAGTAAGAAATAAAGACCACTAAATAGCCATCTAAAACAAAGCTGAATTTATTGCCTTCTTAGCAAGTAAAAGCCATGTCACTCAAACACAAGCTCGACAGCAAAAATTAAATAGGAGTGAAAAAAGGAAGTGCACTAAATAAGGCAAGATTCTGAATTTTGGCCTGCAAGTGACTTACAAAGTAGATTGTCAAGTCATCTTCAAGTTCTGTGTCACTGACACTAGGAACTTGATTTTAAGCAAGTCCAAGATAGATTATAAAAGATTCCACGAGACCTTAGGTCATTCATCAGAGGTGCTTAATGTGCATGTTCAAAACTTAGCAAGTTTTTTTTTGTTGTTGTTATTTTAAATAAGTATGAAATAGTGCCTAGCCCATAGTAGACAAAAAAAAAAAATGAGGAAGGAGAAAGATTAATATTCTGAATTCATTATTTTGTTGGATTTATAATAGATAGTAAATAGATGTGTTTTCCGTGGGTATCTTTTTTTTCCCCCCTACAAGCAATTTGTGATTTTTATTGGATATTTTTCTTGGAGATCAGCCTTTTTTTTATTACCTTCTCCTGAAGAAAGTGTACTTTTTTTGTACTCCTCCTTGCAGAATAGGGCAACTCCATAGACAGTGTGCCCAGAGTAGCCTAGTTCAGGTTTTGCATTTTGTTCCTGTCAATAAGTTTTTAAAGTGTGTGGTGTGGGTGTGTGTGTGTGTGTATGTGGTCTATTTGGCCATCATTAGTGTCTTCTGATTTTAATTTGGCAGGTGACAAAATGTTATTGCATGGAAATTTAAAGACATGCTTACTGAGAAAAACAAAGTTTAATAAAGTTTAATAAAGTCATGCTTATTGAGAAAAACAAAGTTTAACCAAAAATATAATGTTCTCATGCTCTTACTATTTCACAATCTCTTTTTAAATTTAGAAGAATATATAGAGAAGGGGTGCTTTGGTTTCACTTCAGTTCTTTTTCTTCTATTAAATTCTAGTAAAATAAATATTTTTAAAAACTGATGGCTGGGCCCAGTGGCTCACGCCTGTAATCCCAGCACTTTGGGAGGCCAAGGCAGGCAGATCGCCTGAGGTCAGGAGTTCAACACCAACCCGGCCAACATGGCGAAACCGTATCTCTACTAAAAATACAAAAATTAGCTAGGCGTGGTGGCATGCACCTGTAGTCCCAGCTACTCGGGAGGCTAAGGCAGAAGAATCGCTTAAACCCAGGAGGCGGAGGTTGCAGTGAGCTGAGATGGCACCACTGCACTCCAGCCTGGGCAACAGAGCCAGACTCCATCTCAAAAAAAAAAAAAAAGAAAGAAAGAAAAACTGAAACTCAGTATCTCATAGTGATGGAATTAAGGATGATTTTTAAATTTTCATCTATATGCATTATGTCTTTCTGTAATTTAAAATTTTAATAACAAATAATGCCTTACAGAATGTCAGTTAACATCGTAGTTAGGTTCTTGGAAACCACAACTTTAAGTGAAATAACTAATGTACAGTGGGTTCTCCAACAACATTTACTTCAACGTCCTTTCCTTCTAACCTCGATGAGGAAAAAACAAAAAAATAAATATTTCATGATACATTGTTTTCCTTAAATTAGCAGTTGATACCTACCAGGTTCGTTCTGCCCATGTGCAGTAAACCAGTCACTGTGACCAGATTTTGCAAAACAGAAAAGGTTTATTCACAGGGCAGCCCAGCAAGAAGGTGGGAGAACAGCTCTCAAGTCGGCCTCCCTGAAAATAAGGTTTAGGAATGTTTATGGATTAGAGAAGCGGAGAGGTCTAAGGCGTAGGAAGAGATGATTGACATTGAGGAAAAATGAATTGGTGATCTGTGCAAATGTAGTTGGGGTCATGGCTTTTTATAGGATGCATGTTCAGAAAATGGCTGCGTTAGCATCATCAGAGGATAGAGTTTTTCTCCCTGTAATTCCAGAAGGCTACCTCAGGGGCATTTGCACATGCCCAGTTGAAGGGTTAGTGGTCTCAACCAGTTTGAACTGGACAGGAGCTGTCCCCAAGCTCCTGAAAAGCAACCTAAGCAATCATTAATTACCATGGCAACATATACTTCAGAAATGTTATCTGTAAGGAAGTCAGTGAAGGTCGTTACTGTGTTAAGCAGTGTGACTTTTAGCTACCTGGGTAAAATAATAATAATAATAGACAGCCGGGCACAGTGGCTCACGCCTATAGTCCCAGCACTTCCAGAGGCTGAGGTGCTGAGTGGATCCCTTGAATCCAGGAGTTCGAGACCACCCTGGGCAACATGGCGAAACCCATCTCTACTAAAAATACAAAAAATTAGCCAGGCATGTTGGTGCATGCCTATAATCCCAACTACTTGGGGGCTGAGGCAGGAGGATCACTTGAGCCCAGTAGGTTGAGGCTGCAGTGAGCCCTGATTGGGCCACCACACTCCAGCCTGGGCGACAGAGCGAGACCCTGTCTAAAATGACCACCACCACAAAAAAAGCAAAAAACAAGCGAGTGACCAAAAGCAGCAAGCAGGGCAGGTTAAGTTTGGCAGACCTAATCAGATTAGCCCCTTGGTTTCTTGAACCTATCAATGACTTTTTTTCAGACGGCATCTCAGTCTTTCGCTCAGGCTAGAGTACAGTGACACCATCATAGTTCTTTGCAGCCTCCAACTCCTGGGCTCAAGGGCTTAAGAGATCCTTCTGCCTCAGCCTCCTGAGTAGTTGGGACTACAGGCCTGAGCCACCGGCCTGGCTTGTATTTTTAAACCATAAAGTTATTTTCATAAAAGAAAGCCAAATATACGTAAAAGGATATTGCTGACATCATTTATAATAACAAAAAAAGTCAAACAACTGAAATGTCTATCAATAAGAGAATGGAATAGTTATATTATGGCACCCCCATAAAATACTGTGTTGCTGTTGAAAAGAGTAATGTAGATTTATGTGAAGGAACATGGAAAAATACTTTAAAAAGCAAGTTGCAGAAAAATACATTCTCATTTTTATGGGGGAAAATAGTTCAGTTTAAATTACCCAACTTCAATTCAAAGGGCTGGGAATTAAAAAAAAGAGAGAGAGAGAGAGAGACACAGACATAGACAAAGAGATAGAGATATACATATGTGTTTATGTATAGGTATATGTACGTATGAGTATATATATTTCAACCTGACCCCTAAATGCAAACTGATACTAAACAAAAAAAAATGTATTTCCTGATGTAGGAAAATTAGTTGGACTTACTAAGGAAGGTACAATATGTGTTAAGACTGCACATACTGAATTTTATGAAACATGAACTATTTGAGGCAATTTTTAATAATAATAAATTTTACATTATGACCTGACAACTTTAGAAGCTACCACCTCATGACCACATAAGACATTATTACTTTACTCCTTATATGGGGACCAGAAATTATAGAAAGATGGAAACCTATCACTCAACAGATGCGGGACAGACTGCTACTTTGTATTTTGTTTGTTTGTTTGTTTTTTGGGACAGAGTCTCACTCTGTTCCCCAGGCTGAAGTGCAGTGGCTGGCTATCTTGGCTCACTGTAGCCTCTACCTCCCAGGTTCAAGCGATTCTCCTTCCTCAGCCTCCCAAGTAGCTGGGATTACAGGCGCCCATCACCACACCCAGCTAATGTTATGTATCTTTAGTAGAGATGGGGTTTCCGCATGTTGGCCAGGCTGGTCTCGAACTCCTGACCTGAGGTGATCCACCTGCCTTGGCTTCCCAAAGTGCTGGGATTACAGGCATGAGCCAGCATGCCTGGCCCAGACTGTTACTGTGTGGGTTTTTTTGTTGTTGTTTATTTGTTTTTTTTGAGATGGAGTTTCACTCTTGTTGCCCAGGCTGGAGTGCAATGGCGTGATCTCAGCTCACCACAGCCTCTGCCTCCCGGGTTCAAGCGATTCTGCTTCAGCCTTCCAAGTAGCTGGGATTACAGGCATGTGCCACCACACCAAGCTAATTTTGTATTTTTAGTAGAGACGGGGTTTCCCCATGTTGATCAGGTTCGAACTCCCGACCTCAAGTGATCTGTTCGCCTCGGCCTCCCAAAGTGCTGGGATTACAGGTGTGAGCCACCACGCCTGGCTGTTACTTTGACTATGTACTCACATACAGTTTTATATTTGAATTTGTACAATTTATTACATACTTTATAACTTTTTAATTATAAAAATGTCTGTATTTATATATCTTTCTAAGTACATATATATTCGTAAAACACTATTTTTAATGGTTCCATATAGTTAGACACTTAAGTTTGTATAAATTTTTTTTTTTTTTTTTTTTTTGAGATGGAGTCTCGCTCTGTTATCCAGGCTGGAGTGTAGTGGTGCGATTCGGCTCACTGAAAGCTCCGCCTCCCGGGTTCACGCCATTCTCCTGCCTCAGCCTCCCGAGTAGCTGGGACTACAGGCGCCCGCCACCACGCCCAGCTAATTTTTTGTATTTTTAGTAGAGACGAGGTTTCACCATTGCCAGGATGGTCTCGATCTCTGACCTCGTGATCTGCAGACCGTGGCCTCCCAAAGTGCTGGGATTGCAGGCGTGAGCCACCACGCATGGCCAAGTTTTTATAATTTTTTATAATTAGGAACATTCTTACACATAAACTCTTGTTCATGTTGCCATTTATTCTCATTCAAATTCATCCTAAATTGGAAAAGAAAGGATATGCATTAACAATATACTTGTGGCTGGGTGCAGCAGCCTATAATCCAAAAATTAGCTGGGCATGGTGGTGCATGCCTGTATTTCCAGGTACTTGGGAGGCTAAAGTGGGAGGATCACCTGAGCCCCGGAGGCCAAGGCTGCTGTGAGTTGTGATTGTACCACTGCACTTCAACCTGGGCAACAGAGTGAGATTGTGTCTCAAAAAACGAAAACAAAAAAAAACTTTGTGAAGATAAAGCAAAATAGTGTTTGAAAAGAACCTCACTTCCGTAGCATTTCTCTGTCACTGGCCTAGATCCCAGGTCTGAAGAACACTGAAGGTCAAACAAGTATCTGGGCTCCATTCCAGTTGCCCCAGCATCAGCTAGCTCCTGAATGGGGCATGAACCCTGATCCTGACCTAAAGAAACTCACAGTCCAGAGGAGAAAACAAACATGAATTACTGCAAAACAGTATAACTCATGTTACAATGGAAACACACAATAGAAGACCTCTCGAATGTTAATGTACACATCCAATACCTGGGGATCTTTTAAAATGCAGATTCAGGCCGGGCGCAGTGGCTCACACCTGTAATCCCAGCACTTTGGGAGGCCAAGGCAGTCAGATCACCTGAGGTCAGGAGTTCAAGACCAGCCTGACCAACATAGTAAAACCCCGTCTCTACTAAAAATACAAAAAAATTAGCCGGGCATGGTGACGGGCACCTGTAGTCCCAGCTACTCAGGAGGCTGAGGCAGGAGAATGGCATGAACCCAGGAGGCGGAGCTTGCAGTGAGCTGAGATCACGCCACTGCACTCCAGCTTGGGCGACAGAGCAAGACTCCGTCTCAAAAAAAAAAAAAATACAAAAATTAGCCGGCTGTGGTGACGGATGCCTGTAATCCCAGCTACTTGGGAGGCTGAAGCGGGAGAATTGCTTGAACCCAGGAGGCAGAAGTTGCAGTTAGCTACGATGGTGCCATTGCACTCCGGACTGAGCAATAAGCGCAAAACTCTATCTCAAAACATAAAATAAAATAAAATGCAGATTCAGAAGGTCTGGTGTGGAACCTGAGATTCTGCATTTCTACCAGTTCCCAGGTGATGCCAAAGCCACTTATTTGCAGACCACACTTTGAGTAGCAACAGTATAGATAGAAGTAAGCAAAGTTTTACAGATACCCAAGCAGAGTTTCAAGAGATGAATAAGAATTTCCCAGACAGCTAATGAAGGGAAGGGTATACTCTAGAAGAGGGACTAGCATAACACAGAGATGCAGAGGCATGAAATGGCCTGGTTTGTCTGAAGCCCCAAGCTCAAAGGGCGGGGAGAAGATGAGAAAGATTTCCTCCGAGGAGCACTGATGGTGATGGATCACAGGATGTGGAGGCATCAGGGTGAATCCACAGGCTGGATAACTAACTGGAGGTAGGGGGAAGTGGAGGAGGACGTGGGTGATGGAGGAGGCATGCCCTCACCAAACCAATGAATACAGAACCAGGTCCACAGCGGTGCAGTGGCTCATGCCTATAATCCAGAACTTTGGGAGGCCAAGACGATAGAATTGCTTGAGCCTGGACAATTTGGCAAAACCCTGTCTCTACCAAAAATGCAAAAGTTAGGTGGGAGTGGTGGTGTGTGCCTGCACTCCCAGCTGCTCGGGAGTCTGAGGTGGGAGGATCACCAAGCCCAGGAGGTTGAAGTTGCAGTGAGCCATGATTGTGCCATGGCACTCCAGCCTTGGTGACAGAGTGAGACCCTGTCTCAATAATAAAAAGCAGCAGCAGAAGCAAGTGCAGGTCTGAGGGGAGAGGTAATGAGTTCAGGTTGGGATTCACCAAGTTGGACGTGGGGGAAGAATGAACAGGCAGGGGGACTTTAGGTGAGATGTGAGTGGGGCACTTCAAGGGAAAGGCTGCAGAAGAGACAGTCAAGGTGTCAGTGTGCTGAGCAGTCCAAGCCATGGGCTGGGAGAGGAAAAGAAGGATCCTTCAAGCCTGTGAACCTCAGAACCACCACTATACAACTGCAAGCCTGTGAATCATGTTTCTCATATGACCCCTGAGAATATGAATCAGCAAGAGTGAAAACCAGGATCCAGGGTCCCCCAGAATTATCAACATCTCACACAAAAACCTGCATATGAGTCAGACCTGGTGGCTCACACCTGTAATCCCAGCACTTTGGGAGGCTGAGGCAGGCAGATCACTTGAGGCCAGGAATTTGAGACCAGCCTGGCCAACACAGTGAGACCCTGTCTCTACTAAAAATACAAAAAATTAGCTGGGCATGGCGGCATACGCCTGTAATCCCAGCTACTCAGGAGGCTGAGGCAGGAGAATCTCTTGGACACAGGAGGTGAAGGTTGCACTGAGCCGAGATCGAGCCACTGCACTCCAGCCTGAGTGCAACAACAGAGCGATACTCAAAAAAAAACAAAACAGGCCGGGCGCAGTGGCTCACACCTGTAATCCCAGCACTTTGAGAGGCCAAGGCGGGTGGATCACAAGGTCAGGAGATCGAGACCATCCTGGCTAACACAGTGAAACCCCGTCTCTACTAAAAATACAAAACAATTAGCCGGGCATAGTGGCGGGCGCCTGTAGTCCCAGCTACTCGGGAGGCTGAGGCAGGAGAATGACGTGAACCCAGGAGGTAGAGCTTGTAGTGAGCTGAGATCACGCCACGGCACTCCATCCTGCCTGGGCAACAGAGCGAGACTCTGTCTCAAAAAAAAACAAAAAACAAAAAACAAAACCCTGCATATAAATATTAATAGTAGCTTTGTTTGTAATTGCTAAAACTGGAAGCAACAAACATGTCCTTGAATAGATAAATGGATAAACAAACTGGTATATCTATACAATGAAATAGTATTCAGCAATATAAAAAAATTAGTAGGCTGGGTGCAGTGGATAACACCTGTCATCCCAGCACTTTGGGAGGCTGAGGCAGGGGATCTCTTGAAGTCAGGAATTTGAAACCAGTCTGGCCAACATGCCGAAACTCTGTCTCTGCAAAAAATTAGCTGGGCGTGGTAGTGTACGCCTGGGAGGGTGAAGCAGGAGAATCACTTGAACCCAGGATGCAGAGGTTGCAGTGAGCCAAGATCGCTCCACTATACTACAGCCTGGGTAAGAGAGTGAGACTCTGTCTCAAAAAAAAAAAAAAAAAAAAAAGAGAAAGAAAAGAAAAGAAGGTAGTGGCCAGGTGTGGTGGCTCACACCTGTACTATGAGTTGGACATGGTGGCTCATGCCTGTAATCCCAGCACTTTGGGAGGCCAAGGTGGGCAGATCACTTGAGGCCAGGAGAACTTTGGGAGGCCAAGGCAGGTGAATCACTTGAGCTCTGAAGTTTGAGACCACCCTGGGCAACATGGTGAAACCCCACCTTTACAAAAAATACAAAAGTTAGCCAGGCATGATGGCATGCACCTTTAGTCCCAGCTCCTTGGGGGCTGAAGCAGGAGGATCACTTGAGCCAAGGAGGCAGAGGTTGCAGTGAGCCGAGATCACACCATTGCACTCCAGCTTGGGTGACAGGAATGAAAGCCTATCTCAAAAAAAGAAAAAGAAAAGAAATTAGCTATCAAGCCATGAAAAGACATGAAAGAACCTTAAATACTTATTACTAAGTGAAAGAGACCAGTGTGAAAAGGCTGTATATTTTACGATTCCAACTATGTGATATTCTGGAAAATACAAAACTATAGAGATAATAATCAGTGGAAGCCAGGCATGTTGGCTCACGCCTGTAATTCCAGCACTTTGGGAGGCCAAGGCAGGTGGATCACCTGAGGTCAGGAGTTCAAAAACAGCCTGGCCAACATGGCAAAACCCCATCTCTACTAAAAATGCAAAAATTAGCCAGGTGTGGTGGCAGGCACCTGTAATTCCAGCTACCAAGGTGGCTGAGGTAGGAAAATTGCTTGTACCTGGGAGGTGGAGGTTGCAGCGAGCCAAGAGTGTGCCACTGCACTCAAGCCTAGGTGACAGAGTGAGACTCCATCTCAAAAAAAAATAAAAATAAAAAATAAAGGATGCCAGGGGTTCCATGGCAGTAATAAACAGTAAAACAAGGGGGATTTTTAGAGCAGTAAAACTGTATAATACTGTAACGATGGATAAAATTCATTATTACATTTGTCAAAACCCACAGAATTGTATAGCACAAACAGTGAACTTTAGCATATGCAAATTTTAAAAAATTATTTAGGAGGTTGGGAGATCCTAGGAAAAAATGCAGAGTGTGATAAGAGCCAGGAGTGGCGGCATGCAGTTGTCGTCCTAGCTACTCAGGAGGTTGAGGTGGGAGAGTTGCTTGAGCCCAAGAGTTCAAGGCTGAAAGGAGCTATGATTGCACCACTGCACTCCATCCTGGCCAACAGAACATGTCCTTGTCTCTTTAAGGAATTTTTATGAATGTATGCAACAACTTCACTGAAGAGGACTCCAAGGAAAGGATTAGGTGTTGACCTAAGGAAATTTTTGGAATCAGTTAAGTCTGTAGACTAAAGGCAAAAGGAACTGCACATAAGCACTGTACTCTAGTTGATAAAGTTGTTACCTATTGGCTACAGATTAATTTTGATACTACTTTACATATATAATGAAATGAAACAAGTAAGTAAGTGGATGTCAGATTGTGGGAGTCAGGTTTCTCACTGTTGGAGTAGAAGTTTACAGATAATCCAGGTGAGAAGGCTAGAATTAACCATGTGGTAATGGATTCAAGTTGAATTCTTCAGTATGAACTCATGTTTAGCTTAATTTAGATACAGATGGCTACAGATAGAAATATTTCTAGATATGTGTATATACTCAGATAAGTAATACACATGCATTTTTTGCACTGCCAGCTGAGAGGACCTAAAATAAATGACATCTCAGTAACCATGAGAAGTTCTAGTGCCCAGATCTTGGTTTCTAATGCCATTCACCAGTAAAAAGAATCAGAGCTCTTTGGAGAAATCAGTGATTCTAGGACTCAGGCAGGAAATATACAAGATGAGCCTAGAGCATCTTGTAGTACAAGAAAATAAGGAAGTGCTCAAAAAAAGTTAATGAAGGTGTGTCATAGGAGCCAACTGAAAGAGCTCCCAATGGCCAAAGATGAAAAACAATTTGAGTAAAAATATAATATAAATATTGGATTATAACCCAAAATATAAAAATAAATACCCACTAGTCCATTGTATTAGTCTGTTCGCATACTGCTATGAAGAAATAGCCAAGGCTGGGTAATTTTTTTTTTTTTTGAGACAGTCTTTTTTTTTTTTGGAGACAGCCTTTTTTTTTTTGGAGACAGCATGGTCTCAGCTCACTGCAGCCTGCACCTCCTGAGTTCAAGGGATTCTTCTGCCTCAGCCTCTTGAGTAGATAGGATTGCAGGCATGCACCACGACACCCAGCTAATTTTGTATTTTTCATAGAGACGGGGTTTCTCCATGTTGGTCAGGCCGGTCTCAAACTCCTGACCTCAGGTGATCTGCCTGTCTCGGCCTCCTAAAGTGCTGGGATTGAAGCCATGAGCCACCACACCCGGCCAATTTTTGTATTTTTAGTAGAGACGGGGTTTCACTATGTTGGCCAGGCAGGTCTCGAACTCCTGACCTTGTGATATACCCGCCTCAGCCTCCCAAAGTTCTGGGACTACAGGCATGAGCCACCACGCCCAGTGACACTAGGTAATTTATAAAGAAAAAGAGGTTTAATGGACTCACAGTTCCATGTGGCTGGGGAGGCCTCACAATCATGGAAGACAAAGGAGGAAGAAAGGTACATCTTACATCGCTGCAGGCAAGAGAGCATGTGCAGGGGAACTGCTCTTTATAAAACCATCAGCTCAGCCGGGCGCAGTGGCTCACACCTGTAATCCCAGCACTTTGGGAGGCCGAGACGGGCAGATCACGAGGTCAGAAGATCTAGACCATCCTGGCTAACATGGTGAAACCTCGTCTCTACTAAAAATACAAAAAAAAAAAAAAAAAAATAGCTGGGTGTGATAGCACACACCTGTAGTCCTAGCTACTCGGGAGGCTGAGGCAGGAGAATGGCGTGAACCTGGGAGGCAGAGCTTGCAGTGAGCCGAGATTGCGCCACTGCACTCCAGACTGGGTGACAGAGCAAGACTCCGTCTCAAAATAAATAAATAAATATAAAACCATCAGCTCTTGTGAGACTTATTCATTATCACAAACACAGCACAGGAAAAACCTGCCCCCATGATTTAGTTACCTCCCACCAGCTCAATCCCATGACACACGGGGATTATGGGAGCTACAATTCAAGATGAGATTTGGGTAGGGATACAGCCAAATCATATCATCCATAATGATATAAATGATTGGATAAATTACTAAATGAGGGGAAAAAGACAAATCTCCCATGCAGAATAGAGTGGGCTAAATAGTATCCCACAAAAATTCATGTCTGCCAGAATCTCAGAATGTGACTTATTTGGCAATAGGGTTTTTGTAGATGTAATTAGTTAAGGATCTTGAGATATCATACTTGGATACCTACTTGGAGTAGGCCCTTAATCCAATGATTCATGTCATTATAAGAAGAGGAGGCCGGGTGTGGGTGGTGGCTCATGCCTGTAATCCCAGCAATTTGGGAGGCTGAGGCAGGCAGATCAACTGAGGTCAGGAGTTCAAGACCAGCCTGACCAACATGGTGAAACGCCATCTCTACTAAAAGTACAAAATTAGTCGGGCATGGTGGCGCATGCCTAAAATCCCAGCTACTCGGG
The DNA here is from genome assembly GCF_000001405.40 of Homo sapiens. Lineage (NCBI taxonomy): Eukaryota > Metazoa > Chordata > Mammalia > Primates > Hominidae > Homo > Homo sapiens. The sequence continues at coordinate 31,007,948 of NC_000022.11, forward strand.
AGGCTGAGTCAGGAGAATCGCTTGAACCCAAGAGGCGGAGGTTATGGTGATCTGAGATCGCACCATTGCACTCCAGCCTGGGCAACAAGGGTGAAACTCTGACTCAAAAAAAAGAACAGGAATTAGAAGGCCCAGATGCAGTGGCGCACACCTGTAATCCCAACAATTTGGGAGGCCGAAGCCGGCGAATCACCTGAGGTCAGGAGTTTCAGACCACCCCAGCCAATATGGCAAAACCCCTACTCTACTAAAAATACAAAAATTGGCTGGGTGCGGTGGCTCACGCCTGTAATCCCAGCACTTTGGGAGGCCAAGGCAGATGGATCACCTGAGGTCAGGAGTTCAAGACCAGCTGGGCCAACGTGATGAAACCCCATCTCTACAACAATATACAAAGTAGCCGGGCATGATGGCAGGTGCCTGTAATCCAAGCTACTCAGAAGGGGGAGGTGGGAGAATCGCTTGATCCCGGGAGGCGGAGGTTGCAGTGAGCCGAGATCGCGCCATTGTACTCCAGCCTGGACAACTGAGCAAGACTCCGTCTCAAAAAAAAAAAAAAATTAGCCAGGTGTGGTGGCATACACCGGTATTCCCAGCTACTCAGGAGGCTGAGAATTGGTTGAACCTGGGAGTTGCATGTTGCAGTGAGCTGAGATGATGTCACTGCACTTTAGCCTGGGTGACAGAGTGAGACTCTGTCTCAAAAAAAAAAAAAGAGGACTTAGAGATACACAGAGAGGAAGGTCATGTTGTGAAGGTGGAGGCAGGGATTTGAGTTATGCTGCCACAAGCCAAGAAACACCTGGGGGCACCAGAAGGTGGAAGAGGAAAGTAAGCATGCCTTCCTAGACTCTTCAGAGGGAGCACAACCCTGCAGACAACTTGACTTTAGACTTTTAGCCTCCAGAACTGTGAGAGAACAAATTTCTGGGGTTGGTTTGTTTTTCTACGTTTTCTTTTTGAGACGGAGTCTTACTCTGTCATCCAGGCTGGAGTGCAGTGGCGCAGTCTCGGCTCATTGCAACTTCGCCTCCTGGGTTCAGGTGATTCTCCTGTCTCGGCCCCCCGAGTAGCTGGGACTATAGGCACGCACCACCATGCCGGGCTATTTTTTTGTATTTTTTAGTAGAGGCGGGTTTTCACCATGTTGGCCGGGCTGGTCTCAAACTCCTGACCTCAGGTCAGCTGACCCGCCCGGCCTTGGCCTCCCAAAGTGCTGGGATTACAGGCATCAACCACCATGCCCGACCAAATTTCTGTTGTTTTAATCCACCTTCCAAGTTGTTACAGCAGCCCTAGGAAAGTAACACACAAAAGAATTTCAAATAATGTATGTAGATACTCTGCTCTCAAGGAAGGGGAGCATAACTCTCCACTCACTAAGCATAGATTGTACATAGTGACTTTCTTCCAGAGTGTACAGTATGGAAATAGGGAAGAAGGAGTAACTTCATTATGGAGAAACCTTGCAAACACTACATCAGCCAGGTGATCAAGGCCAACATCAACTGTCAAAAATCATGATGATAGTATGTTTGCTTGATACGATGTGATGAAAATGAAAAACTTATGGTCTCCCTCCTAGTAACCTAGTCTTTGGCAGGTGCAATGGCTCATGTCTGTAATCCTAGCAATTTGGGAGACTGAGATGGGTGGATCATTTGAGGTCAGGAGTTCAAGACCAGCCTGGCCAACATGGTGAAACACCATCCCTACTAAAAATACAAAAATTAGCTGGGTGTGGTGGTACACGCCTATAGTCCCAGCTACTCGGGAGGCCGAAGCAGGAGAATTGCTTGAACCAAGGAGACAGAGATTGCAGTGAGCTGAGATCACGCCATTGCACTCTAGCCTAGATGACTGAGTGAGACTCTGTCTCAAAAAAAAAAAAAAAAAAAAAAAAAACAAACAGTAAAGCACTGATAGGATTTGGCTGTGTCCCCACCCAAAATCTCATCTTGAATTGAAATCCCCATAATCCCCATGTGTCAAGGGAGAGACCACGTGGAGGTAACTGAATCATGGGGGTACTTTCCTCCATGCTGTTCTCATGGTGGTGAGTTCTCACAAGGGCTGATGGTTTCATTTTTATTTTATTTATTTATTTAGAGATGGAGTTTCGCTCTTGTTGCCCAAGCTGGAGTGCAATGGTGCAATCTCGGCTCACTGCAACCTCTGCCTTCCAGGTTCAAGCGATTCTCCTGCCTCAGCCTCCCAAGTGGCTGGGATTACAGGCACCCGCCACCATGCCTGGCTAATTATGTATGTATTTTTAGTAGAGACGAGGTTTCTCCATGCTGGTCAGCCTGGTCTCGAACTCCTGACCTCAGGTGATCCATGGGCCTTGGCCTCCCAAAGTGCTGGGATTACAGGCGTGAGCCACTGCGCCCAGCCAGATCCGATGGTTTTATAAGTGTTTGGTAGTTCCTCCTGCTTTCATTCTCCCTCCTGCTGCCTTGTGAAGAAGGTACCTTGCTTCCCCTCCACCTTCTGCCATGATTGTAAGTTTCCTGAGACCTCACCAGCCATGCTGAGCTGTGAGTCAATTAAACCTCTTTCCTTTCTAAGTCACTTGGTCTCGAGCAGTTCTTTATAGCAGTGTGAAAACAGACTAATAATACAAGCATCCTACAAAATAACTTGACCAGTACTTCTCAAAACTGTCAAAGTTTTCAAAACCAAGGAAAGTACAAGAAACTGTCACAGCCAAGGGGAGCCTAAGGAAAGATTACTAAATGTAATGTGGTATCCTGGATGGAATACTCAGACAGAAAAGGGATATTGGGTAAACTAGGAAAATCTCAATAAACTATGGACTTCGGTTAATAACAATCTATCAGTAATTTACAGATTCAATGCCATCCCCATCAAGCTACCAATGACTTTCTTCACAGAATTGGAAAAAACTACTTTAAAGTTCATATGGAACCAAAAAAGAGCCCGCATCGCCAAGTCAAACCTAAGCCAAAAGAACAAAGCCGGAGGCATCACACTACCTGACTTCAAACTATACTACAAGGCTACAGTAACCAAAACAGCATGGTACTGGTACCAAAACAGAGATATAGATCAATGGAACAGAACAGAGCCCTCAGAAATAACGCCACATATCTACAACTATCTGATCTTTGACAAACCTGAGAAAAACAAGCAATGGGGAAAGGATTCCCTATCTAATAAATGGTGCTGGGAAAACTGGCTAGCCATATGTAGAAAGCTGAAACTGGATCCCTTCCTTACACCTTATACAAAAATCAATTCAAGATGGATTAAAGACTTAAACGTTAGACCTAAAACCATAAAAACCCTAGAAGAAAACCTAGGCATTACCATTCAGGACATAGGCACGGGCAAGGACTTCATGTCTAAAACACCAAAAGCAATGGCAACAAAAGACAAAATTGACAAATGGGATCTAATTAAACTAAAGAGCTTCTGCACAGCAAAAGAAACTACCATCAGACTGAGCAGGCAACCTACAAAATGGGAGAAAATTTTCGCAACCTACTCATCTGACAAAGGGCTAATATCCAGAATCTACAATGAACTCAAACAAATTTACAAGAAAAAAACAACCCCATCAAAAAGTGGGCGAAGGACATGAACAGACACTTCTCAAAAGAAGACATTTATACAGCCAAAAAACACATGAAAAAATGCTCAACATCACTGGCCATCAGAGAAATGCAAATCAAAACCACAATGAGATACCATCTCACACCAGTTAGAATGGCAATCATTAAAAAGTCAGGAAACAACAGGTGCTGGAGAGGATGTGGAGAAATAGGAACACTTTTACACTGTTGGTGGGACTGTAAACTAGTTCAACCATTGTGGAAGTCAGTGTGGCGATTCCTCAGGGATCTAGAACTGGAAATACCATTTGACCCAGCCATCCCATTACTGGGTATATACCCAAAGGACTATAAATCACGCTGCTATAAAGACACATGCACACGTATGTTTATTGCGGCATTATTCACAATAGCAAAGACTTGGAACCAACCCAAATGTCCAACAATGATAGACTGGATTAAGAAAATGTGGCACATATACACCATGGAATACTAAGCAGCCATAAAAAATGATAAGTTCATGTCCTTTGTAGGGACATGGATGAAATTGGAAATCATCATTCTCAGTAAACTATCGCAAGAACAAAAAACCAAACACCGCATATTCTCACTCATAGGTGGGAATTGAACAGTGAGATCACATGGACACAGGAAGGGGAATATCACACTCTGGGGACTGTTGTGGGGTGGGGGGAGGGGGGAGGGATAGCATCGGGAGATATACGTAATGCTAGATGACGAGTTAGTGGGTGCAGCGCACCAGCATGGCACATGTATACATATGTAACTAACCTGCACAATGTGCACATGTACCCTAAAACTTATGGTATAATAAAAAAAAAGAAAAAAAAATAACAATCTATCAATATTGGTTCATTAATTGTAAACACATGGATTATACTAATGTAAGATGTTAATAGGGAAATTGGATGCAGGATATATAGGAACTCTTCATACTGTCTTCTCAATTTTTCTGTAAACCTAAAGCAATTCTTTTTTTTTTTTTTTTTTTTTTTTTTGAGACAGAGTCTCGCTCTGTCACCCAGGCTGGAGTACAGTGGTGCCATCTGCAACCTCCACCTCCCGGGTTCAAGCGATTCTCCTGCCTCAGCCTCCCAAGTAGCTGGGACTGCAGGTGTGTGCCACTATGCCCAGCTAATTTTTGTATTTTTAGTAGAGACAGGGTTTCACCGTGTTGGCCAGGATGGTCTTGATCTCCTGACCTCATGATCCACCCATCTTGGCCTCCCAAAGTGCTGGGATTACAGGCATAAGCCACCGCACCCAGCTAAAGCAATTCTTAAAAAAATAAAGTATATTTTAGCCGGGCATGATGGCCTATGCCTGTGTACCCACCACTTTGGAAGGCAAAGGTGGGCAGATTGCTTGAGCCTAAGAGTTCAAGACCAGCCTGGGCAACATGGTAAGACCCTATCTGTATTAAAAAATACAAAAAATTAGCCGGGTTTGGTGGCACACCACTGTAGTCCCAGCTGAGGTGGGAGGATCGCAAAATAAATAAATAAATAAAAATAAAGTACGTATTTTTTTAAAAATCTAAATAAAACTAAAGTGTAGGAAGTTATGTCTCTTCTATGTTGAATTCCTAATCCTGAGAGATAACCATTAATCAATCTGGTGCATATCCAAATGAAGAAAAATTATCAACATCTCCCAGTACTGTGCCCCAGTAGGCCATGGTGGTTGTCTCTGGCATCAGTCTGAAATGCCAGCTACATCCAAGCAACTCTCACCTGGCTGCATGAACAGATGACCGTCAGTCACTGGTAGCCAAACCTCTGATTCTCAGAGAGTCAGCGCCCAAGAGCCACCTGTTGAGATGACCCTCTCTGATTACAGCTGATTCGTCCAGGAGTGAACATCAAATTTCAGCTGAACCAGTCAGATTCTGTCCTGGGACTTCTTTATTCCCTTGAAAGTCAGCTCCAGACAGTAAGCTGGGGCGAAAACGAAAACCTCAGTAGCAGCCGGGCTCAGTGGCTCATGCCTGTAATCCCAGCACTTTGGGAGGCCCAGGCAGGCAGATCACTTGAGATCAGGAGTTCGAGACCAGCCTGGCCAACATGGTGAAACTCCGTCTCTACTAAAAATACAAAAATTAGCTGGGTGTCATGGTAGATGCCTGTAATCCCAGCTACTTGGGAGGCTGAGGCAGGAGAATCACTTGAACCTGGAGGCGGAGGTTGCAGTGAACGAAGATCATGCCACTGCACTCCAGACTGGGCAACAGAGTTAGACTACATCTCAAAAAAAATTAATTAATTTTAAAAAATACAAAAATTAGCCAGGCATGGTGGTGCACACCTGTAATCCCAGCTACTTGGGAGGCTGAGGCACGAAAATCGCTTGGTCGTGGGAGGCGAAGGTTGCATTGAGCTGAGATCACACCACTGCACTCCAGCCTAGGCGACAGAGCGAGACTCTGTCTCAATAAAACCCAAAAAACAAAAACAAAAAAACACCAAAAACCTCAGTAGCCATCTGCTGCCATGTATTGGGCAGGCAGGAAGAAATTGTCAAGAGACCAGGAATCACTGGAGGGACAAAGAGTTCCTGTCCCACCACATGGTGGAGAGGAAGGAATCTTGTTCCTGGCAACCAAGTGATCTGCAGCAAGGCTCGGCAACTTGGCATTTTACCGAGCATGTGTACTGTTTTTACACGGAGAAAACAACAGTTATAACCATTTTGCTTTGAAAGAAAACCAAAAGATCCCTTCACATTGGGATTTCCAAGAAAATTTAATGTTGGTTGGCTTTTTGTAATCAGTAATTTTGAATGTGTTAGGGAGAGGTTAAAGAAACAAACTCTTGAACCCAGCAGTAGTATTTTACGATAACAATAATGATAGCTTGCACATACTACTTCCTAGTTGCATTTACAGGAAATAGACTAAGTATATGAAATACACTGTCTCATTTAATTATCCTCATTTTACACTCTAGAAAATCAAGATGCAGAGAGTTTCAGTATGTTGCCCACAGTCATATGGTATTTAACTTCAGAATTCGGGTCTATTTGATCCCAGGGTTCATTCCTTTGACCCATGAAGACCTCTTGAAACAGCTCATTGGACATGGTAAAACAGAGCAGCACATGCAAACTCCTTGCCTCAGTTTCCTCATGTGTAAAACATTTCCCATGAATAATATCTGCCTTGTGATGATTAAGTAAAATACAGCGTGTAAAATACAGCGTATAAAATACCTTCAAAGTGCTTGACATATAATAGGCACTTAAGAAACACATATTCCCAGTGTTGATTGAGTGATATCCAGCCAACAAAAATCTCATTTGGCCCAAACAGAGGCTGTCGGGGGAGTGGGGGACTTTTTTTGTCATCCTAGGTCTTTAGGTGTTTTTGTTCTTTTTTGAGACAGCATCTCACTCTGTTGCCGAGGTTGGAGTGCAGGAGAGTGATCACAGCTCACCAAAACCTCATCCTCTGGGTTAAAGCGATCCTCCCATCTTAGCCTCCCAAGTAGCTGGAACTATAGCCACACACCACCACACCTGGGTAATTGTTTTTTTTTCAGTTTTGTGGAAACAGGATCTCATTATGTTGCCCAGGCTGGTCTTGAACTCCTGGGCTCAAGCAATCCTCCCACCTTGGCCTCCCAAAGTGCTGGGACTACAGAGTTGAGACACCAACCTAGCATAAAACCTAGGCTTCATCCTAGCTTTTATGAGGGATTTAAAAAATTAATACATGCCACGATATTGCCATGCCCTTGCTGTGAAAAGCCACACAAATTTCCTAAGATTTTGAATTAGTTAAAAATATTTCAAATTCAGGAGGTCTCATGTAAAAATATGGATTCCCAGTTCCTTTTGGCAAGTTGAAAGCTCTGGAATCACTGGGTGCATATTCCACAGTGCCACAATCACTGGAGCTGAGAGACTCCAATTAGACAGAGCATGTGCCCTCTGTGAGCATGTGCCACAGTCCCCACCACTCCCCACTGTTCCCCATCATGGAAGCCAATGAACTGGCTTGCAAGGTGTTTTTAAAACTTTTTATTGGCTGGCCACGGTGCCTCACGCCTGTAATCCCAGCACTTTGGGAGGCCGAGGCAGGCAGATCATGAGTTCAGGAGTTCGACACCAATATGGTGAAATCCCGTCTCTACTAAAAATACAAAAATTAGCTGGGCGTGGTGGTGCATGCCTGTAGTCCCAGCTATTCGGGAGGCTGAGGCAGGAGAATCACATGAATCCGGGAGATGGAGGTTGCAGTGAGCCGAGATCCCGCCACTGCACTCCAGCCTGGGTGACAGTGGGAGACTCTGTCTCAAAAAACAACAACAACAACAAAAAAGACCTTTTTATTATGAAAATTTTCAAACATGCACAAAAGTAGAAATAATAGTTACAGAGCCCTGTACTCATTTCTTAAGGCTGATGTAACAAATTACCACAGATTAGGTGATTTAAAAACAACAGACTGGGCGCAGTGGCTCACACCTGTAATCCTAGCACTTTGGGAGGCCGAGGCAGGTGGATCACCTGAGTTCAGGAGTTCAAGACCAGCCTGGCCAACATGCCTGTAATCCCAGCTATTTGGGAGGCTGAGGCAGGAGAATCACTTGAACCCAGGAGGCAGAGGTTGCAGTGAGCCAAGATCATGCTATTGCACTCTAGCCTGGGCAACAAAAGCGAATTTCCATCTCAAAAAAAAAAAAAAAAAGGATGAATTTGGCCCCCTTTTGTCTCACTCTTGCCCTCTCTTTGCACTTCCACCATGTGATGCCTTCTGCCAATGTTATGATGCAGCAAGAAGACCCTTACCAGATGCCAGCACCTTCAACTTGGACTTCCTAGCCTCTAGAACTATGAGAAATAAATTTCTGTTTATTATAAATTATGTTCCCATCAGCAGCATATAAGGGTTCTGATTTTATATCCCACCACCCCTGGTCATTATTTGACTTTTTTATTCTAGTAAGTATGAAGTGGTGTTTCATTGTTTTGATTTCCATCCCTCTGACGACTAATGAATTTGAGCATTTTTTCATGTGTTTACTGACCATTTGTATATCTTTAGAGAAATGTCCGTTCAAGTCCTTTCCCCATTCTTTAATTCAGTTATTGAACTTTTTATTATTTATTTATTTTTATTTTTATTTTTATTTTGAGACAAGGTCTCACTCTATCACCTAGGCTGGAGTGCGATCTTGGCTCACTACAGCCTTCGGGGCTCAAGCGATCCTCCCACCTCAACTTCCAGAGTAACTGGGACTACAGGCATGCACCAACACCCTCAGCTAATTTGGTTTTTTGTTTTGTTTTGTTTTTTGTTTTGAGACTGAGTTTCACTTAGTCACCCAGGCTGGAGTGCAATGGCATGTTCTTGGCTCACTGCAACCTCTGCCTTCTGGGTTCAAGTGATTCTCGTCCTTCAGCCTCCCAGGTAGCTGTGACTACAGGTGTATGCCACCAAGCCTGGCTAATTTTTGTATTAGAGATGGGGTTTCACCATGTTGGCCAGGCTGGTCTCGAACTCCTGACCTCAAGTGATCCACCCTCCTCAGCCTCCCAAAGTGCTGGGATTACAGGTGTGAGCCACCATGCCCAGCCGACGTCCAGCTAATTTGTGTATTTTTTGTTGTGACAGGGTTTCACCATGTTGCCTAGGCTGGTCTCAAACTCCTAGGCTCAAGGGATCTGCCCACCCTGGCCTCCTAGAATGCTAGGATTGTAGGTGTGAGCCACTGCACCCAACCTAATTTTTTGTTTTAATTTTCGTAGAGACTAAATCTTGCTATGTTGCCCAGGCTGATCCAAACTCCTGGCCTCAAATAATCCTCCCCCCTTGGCCTCCCCAAGCACTGAGATTACAAGCGTGAGTAGCCATGCCTGGCCAACAGTGTCCTTTGAATCACAAAAGTTTTTAAATTGGATTAAGTCCAATTTATTTTTTTTCTTTTGTTCCTCGTGCTTTTAGTGTTGTGTCTAAGAATCCAGTGCCAAATCCAAGTTCAAAACTATTATTTTCTATGGAGTAGCCTTGGCATCCGTATTGAAAATCAATTGATCATAGACAGATGGGTTTTTTCCACCCTGGACTTTCAGTTATATTCCATTGATCTATATGTTTTTCCTTATGCCAGGACTTCACTGTCTTGATTATTATAGCTTTGTAATGTTGGGAATGAAATTTTTGGTGTTGCAAAAAAAAGAATTAATGTGGGAACAAATGATCTCTCAGCAAGGCGAGCTTTAGTTTCTGCAGAAAGGGTGCTACTCAGTAGCTGTCCAGCCATGAGAGCACACCGAACAAAGGAGACAGAGTTACTTATAACCTGACGTGTCTACCGTACTGCTGTGTCCAGTTTCCATTGGCTGGAATAGGACCTCACATTTTACACTTTACCCGATTGGCTATTAGTTTAAAACGTTCTTAATTTGCACGGGCATGGTGGCTTATGCCTGTAATCCCAGCACTTTGGGAGGCTGAGGCAGGCGGATCACCTGAGGTCAGGAGATCAAGACCATCCTGGCTAACACGGTGAAACCCCATCTCTACTAAAAATACAAAAAATTAGTCGGGTGTGGCAGCGTGCGCCTGTATTCCCAGCTGCTGGGGAGGCTGAGGCAGGAGAATGGTGTGAACCCAGGAGGCAGAGCTTGCAGTGAGCCAAGATTGGGCCACCAAACTCCAGCCTGGGCGACAGAGCAAGACTCCGTCTCAAAAATAAATAAATAAATAAATAAATAAATAAATAAATAAATAAAACTTTCTTAATTAGGTAAGGGGAATAGAACAAAGAAAGAAAAGCAAGTTGCGCAGGGATAGTTAAGGAAGCATCTCCAAATAAGGAATGGCATGCACTATGGGCTGGGGCTTGTGTAGTTCTGTCCAGGCATGCCGGAGCAAGCTAGGACAGCTGATTTGGAATATATGTACATATATATACATATATATATATATATATATATACACACACACACACACACATATATATACATATATATACATATATATACATATATACATATATATACATATATACATATATACATATATATATACATATATACACATACACACATATAAATATATATACACATATATATACACATATATATACACATATATACACATATATATACACATATGTATACACATATATATATACACATATATATGTATACTAACAGTGGATAGCAATCTTATAGTAAGAAATTGCGACTTTTTACAATCTTTGAAGAACTTTCCCGTTTCTCACAGTAATGTTTAGAAATCAGGAAGTGTGACTCTTCCAACTTTGTTCTTTTTCAAGATTATTTTGTTATTCTGAGTCATTTGCAATTACATGTGAAATTTAGAATCAGCTAGTCACTTTCTACAAAAAAGCCAACTGAGATTAATCCATTCATGAGGGCAGAGCCCTCATTACTCAATCACCTTTTAAATGCCCAACCTCCTAATAGTGTTACAGTGGGGATTACTTTCCAGCACATGAACTTTTGAGGGACACATTAAAACCGTAGCATTTTGTCCTAACTCCCAAGATTCATGTCCTTCTCACATGTAAAATACATTCCTTCTATCCCAATAGCTAAGGCTGGAGTGCAGTGGTGCAATCTCTGCTTGCTGCTGCCTCAACCTCCCAGGTTCAAGTGACCCTCCCACCACAGCTCCCCAAGTAGATGGAACTACTGGCATGTGCCACCATACCCAACTAATGTTTGTATTTTTTGCAAAGAAGAAGTCTTGCTATGTTGTCCTGACTGGTCTTGAACTCCTGGACTCCAGCAGTCCTCCCACCTCAGCCTCTCAAAGTGTTGAGATTACTGTAGGCATGAGCCACCTCACCTGGCCAGCCCTAAAGTCTTCACTTACTTCAGCATCAACTCAAAAGTCCAAAGTTCCAAGTCTCATCTAAATCAGATATAAATGAAACTCAGGGCACAATTCACCTTGGGGCAAATTTCTTCCAGCTGTGAGCCTGAGAAAGCAAATTACCTTCTTCCAAAATGCAGTGGTTGGACAGGTTTAAGACAGACATTCCCATTCCAAAAGAGAGAATTAAGAGGAAAAGAATAACTGGCCATGAGTAATCCAAAACCCAATAGAGAAAACAATACTAAATCTTAAAGCTCCAGAATAATCTTCCTTGACTTCATGTCCCACTTCCTGCTGGTGGGACACCGATGTGGGTGATAGGCCTGCAAGGCCTCAGGCAGAATGCCCCTATGGCTTTGCTGGGCTCAGCTCACTCTTCAGCAATTCCAAGAGTAGCATGCACGCTGGTAGCACTACAGTTCTGGGGTCTTGATGGCACTCCTACTCCCGTGGTTCCATTAGGCATTGCCCTGGTGGGGACTTTCTGTAGCAGCCCCAGGCCCACATTTCCACTCAGCATTGCCCTGGTTGGGGCTGTCTGTGGTGGCTCCACCCCTGTGGCAGGTTTCTGCCTGCAATTTCACGCTGTCCCAATACATCCTTTGAATCTAGGTGGAGGGCCGAGTGCAGTGGCTCACGTCTGTAATCCCAGCATTTTGGGAGGCCGAGGCGGGTGGATTGCCTGAGGTCAGGAGTTCAAGACCAGCCTGGACAACACGGTGAAACACCGTCTCTACTAAAAACACAAAAATTAGCTGGGCGTCATGGCACATGCCTGTAATCCCAGCTACTCAGGAGGCTGAGATAAGAGAATCGCTTGAACCCGGGAGGCAGAGATTGCAGTGAGCCGAGATCGCGCCACTGCACTCCGCTCGAGTCTGGGCGACACAGCAAGACTCCGTCTTAAAAAAAAAAAAAAAATGAAATCTAGGTGGAGGCTGCCATGCCTTCATAGCTCTTGCATTCTGTGTGCCTGCAGAATTAACACTACAAGGATGCCACCAAGCTTTGTGGTTTATGTATTCCAGAGCAACTGGTCAAGCTGAGCCTGGGGCCCTTTGAGTTGGGGTTAGATTATCCTGTACTGGAATGCGGGAAGCAAGAGTCCAAAGTCATCCCTGGGCTGCAAACCCATGGAGAGCGCTCCGGGCCCATCCTACCATTCTACCCTCTTACTACTGTAGGCCAGTGATGCAAGGGGCAGCCTTGAAGATCTCTGCAATGCCTTCAGGGTTTTTCTCCTGTTGTCCTGATGATTAGCACCTGGCCGCCTTCTAGCATACTAATCTCCATAGCAAAAGGTCTCTGGGACACCCCCTTGGTATTCTCTCCTGAATGACTTTTTCACTCACACTGAGAGTTTTCCAAATCTTTCTGCTTTGCTTTCCTTTTGATTTTAAATTCTGTCATTAAGTAATTTTTTTTCCCTCACAAAACTTAACATAAGCAATATAAAAGGAGCCATGCGTGGCCGAGCACAGTGGCTCATGTCTGTAATCCTAGCACTTTGGGAGGCCAAGGCAGGAGAACTGCTTGAGTCCAGGAGTTCAAGACCAGCCTGGGCAACACAGTGAGACATTGTCTCTCTCTCTCTCTCTCTCTCTTTTTTTTTTTTTTTTTAAGTAGACTGAATGCTTTGCTGCTTAGATATTTCTTCTGCCAGATAACCTAATTCATTGCTCTTAGGTTGTGAGTTCCATAAAGCCCTCTGGCATGGACAAAATCCAGCCAAGTTCCTTGCCAATTTATAACAAGGATGGTCTTTACTCCAGTTTCCAATACCTTATTTATCTTTCTGTCTGAGACCTCATCAGAATGGCCTTTACTGTCCATATTTTTTTTTCTTTTTTTTTTTGAGATGAAGTCTCACTCTGTCGCCCAGGCTAGAGTGCAATGGCATGATCTCGGCTCACTGCAACCTCTGCCTCCTGTGTTCAAGCAATTCTCCTGTCTCAGCCTCCCAAGTAGCTGGGATTACAGGCGTGTGCCACCACGCTCAGCTAATTTTTTTGTAATTTTATAGAGATGGAGTTTCACCATGTTGGCCAGGCTGGTCTCAAACTCCTGACCTCAAGTGATCCACCCGCCTCAGCCTCCCAAAGTGCTGGGATTACAGGTGTGAGCCACCGTGCCTGGACTACCATGCATATTTCTTTTTTTCTTTTTCTTTTTTTTTTTGAGACGGAGTCTTACTCTGTTGCCCAGGCTGGAGTGCAGTGGTGCGATCTCGGCTCACTGCAACCTCTGCCTCCCAGGTTCAAGCAATTCTCCTGCCTCAGCCTCCTGAGTAGCTGGAATTATAGGCGCCCACCACTACACTTGGCTAATTTTTGTGTTTTTAGTAGAGACGGGTTTTCACCATAATGGCCAGGCTGGTCTCAAACTCGTGACATCAGGTGATCTGCCCGCCTCAGCCTCCCAAAGTACTGGAATTACAAGCGTGAGCCACCGTGCCCAGCCCCTACTGTCTATATTTCTAGTAGAATTCTAGTCATGACCATTTAAATAATCTCTAGGAAGTTCCAGACTTTCCTTAGTCTTCTTGCCCTCTTCTGAGACCTTCCCAGAATTACCCTTAACGCTCATTTCATGGTAATACAGGTTTTTTCTAGCCTGCTCCTTCAAATCCTTCTAGCCTCTACCCTTTTTCCAGTTCCAAAGCTACTTTCACATTTTCAGATATTTATTATAGCAACAATGCCACTTCTCAGTAACGAGTTTATCTTAGTCCATTTTCTGTTGCTATAACTGAAGAGCTGAGACTGGTTAATTTATAAACAAAAGAAATTTATTTCTTATAGTTCTGGAACTGGGAAGTCCAAGGTCAAAGGGTTGCATCTGGTGAGGGCCTTCTTGCTGTTGGGGACTCTGCAGAGTCCTGAGGCAGCATAGTGAGAGGGCTCATGGGAGAGGGCCAAACTAGCTTTTTATAACATACCCACTCTGATAGCTAATCCCCTCCAATGATATCCTGTTAATTCATTAATACATGAATTAATTCATTAATACATTAATCCATTCATGAGGGCAGAACCTGCATTACCCATCACCTCTTAAAGGCCCCACCTTCCTTTTTTCTGAGACAGGATCTGGCTCTGTTGCCCAGGCTGGAGTTCAGTGGCGCAATCATGGCTCACTGCAACCTCAGCCTCCCAGGGTCAAGCAATACTGCCACCTCAGCCTCCTGAGTAGCCGAGACCACAGGCCCATGCCACCACACCCAGCTAATTGTTTTTGTATATTTTGTTTCACTATGTTGCCCAGACTGGTCCCAAACTCCTGAGCTCAAGCCATCCACCCACGTCAGCCTCCCAAAGCACTAGGATTACAGGCGTGAGCCACAGTGCCTGCCCCTGCCCTGTTTTGTTTTTGTTTTTGTTTTTGAGATGGGATCTCGCTCTGTCACCCAGGCTGGAATGCAGCAGTGTGATGATGGCTCACTGCAGCCTCAACCTTCCAGGCCCAAATGATCCTCCTGCCTCAGCCTCCCGAGTAGCTGATGTTACTGGAAAGGGGTCCCAATCCAGACCTCAAGAGAGGGTTCTTGGATCTTGCACAAGAAAGAATTTGAGGTGAATCCATAAAGTAAAATGAAAGCAAGTCTATTAAGTAAGTAAAGGAATAAAAGAATGGCTACTCCATAGGCAGAGCAGCGGCATAGGCTGCTCAATCTGATTCGACTTATAGTTATTTATTTATTTATTTATTTATTTTGAGACAGTCTCACTCTGTTGCCCAGGCTGGAGTGCAGTGACGTGATCTCAGCTCACTGCAGCCTCTGCGGTTCAAGTGATTCTCCTGCCTTAGCCACCCAAGTAGCTGAGATTACAAGTGTGCACCACCATGCCCAGCTAATTTTTGTATTTTTAGTAGAGACAGGGTTTTGACTTGTCCAGGCTGGTCTTGAACTCCTGACCTAAAGTGCTCTGCCCACCTCAGCCTCCCAAAGTGCTGGGATTACAGGCATGAGCCACCACACCCAGCCTATTTCTTGATTATATGCTAAACAAGGGGTGGATTATTCATGAGTTTTCCAGGAAAGGGGTGGACAATTCCTGGAACTGAGGGTTCCTCCCCCTTTTAGACTATATAAGGTAACTTCTGGACATTTCCATGGCATTTGTAAGTTGTCATGGCACTGGTGGGAATGTCTTTTAGCATGCTAATACATTATAATTAGCATATAATGAGCAGTGAGAACAACCAGAGGTCACTTTCATTGCCGTCTTAATTTTGGTGGGTTTGGCAGGCTTCTTTACCTCATCCTTTTATCAGCAAGGTCTTTGTTACCTGTACCTTGTGCCAACCTCCTATCTCATCCTGTGACTAAGAATTCCTGGCCAGGCGCCATGGCTCACACCTGTAATCCCAGCACTTTGGGAGGCCAAGGTTGGTGGATCAGAAGGTCAGGAGTTAGAGACCAGCCTGACCAACATGGTGAAACCCTGTCTCTACTAAAAATACAAAAAAATTAGCCAGGCATGGTGGCGTGCACCTGTAATCCCAGCTACTCAGGAGGCTGAGGCAGGAGAATCGCTTGAACCTGGGAGGTGGGGGTTGCAGTGAGCCGCGATCGTGCCATTGCACTCCAACCTGGGCGACAGAGCGAGACTTGGTCTCCAGAAAAAAAAAAGAAATCCTAACCTTGTAGGAATGCAGCCCAGTAGGTCTCAATCTTATTGTACCCAGCCCTTATTCAAGATGGAGTCACTCTGGTCCAAATGCCTCTGACAATGGGATTACAGGCATCCACCACAATGCCCAGCTAAGGCCCCATCTCTTAATACTGTTACACTGGGGATTCTGTTTCCAACACGTGAACTTTTTGAGGACACATTCAAATCATCGCATGGGAAAGCATCCAGTCTTTTCTGCATTAAGTATGTTAGCTGTAGGTTTTTCATAGATGCCCTTTATCACTTGAGGGAGCTCCCTTCTATTGCTACTTCATGTGTGTTTTTGTCATGAAATAATGTTAGAGGTTGTCAAATGCTTTTTCTGCATCTATAGAGATGATTGTGTAGTTTTTATAATTTATGCTATTGATATTATGTGTTGTATAAATTGATGTTTGGATGCTTAGCAAACTTGGCATTCTGTGACATAACCCACTTGGTCATGCTGTATATGTTGTTGGGTTCTAGCCCTTTATTTATTTATTTATTTATTTATTTTTTGAGACAGAGTCTCGCTCTTTCACCTCCGCCTCCTGCTTCAGCTTCCTGAGTAGCTGGGATTACAGGCGCCCACCACCATGCCCAGTCTAGCCCATTTTAAAATTGGGTAGTCTTCTAATTATGAGTTGTAATATTTACTTGTATATTGTGGATACAAGTCCCTTATTAAATATATTATTTGAAAATATTTTCTCCCACGTTTTTCTTTTCATCATTTTATAAATGAGTCTTGGCCGGGCACAGTGGCTCATGCCTGTAATTCCAGCTCCTTGGGAGGCTGAGGCAGGAGAATCGTTTGAACCTGGGAGACAGAGGTTGCGGTGAGCCGAGATTACACCAGTGCAGCCTGGACAACAAGCGCAAAACTCTGTCTCAAAAAAAAAAAAAAATTTAGCCGGGTGTGATGGCATGCGCCTGTAGTCCCAGCTACTCAGGAGGCTGAGGAAGGAGAATCACTTGAACCCGGGAGGTGGAGGTTGCAGTGAACCAAGATCGCGCCACTGCACTCCAGCCTGCAGGACGGGAGTGAGACTCCATCTCAAAATAAATAAATAAATAAATAAATATTTTACAGAAC
This sequence comes from Homo sapiens, assembly GCF_000001405.40. Lineage (NCBI taxonomy): Eukaryota > Metazoa > Chordata > Mammalia > Primates > Hominidae > Homo > Homo sapiens. The sequence continues at coordinate 31,025,147 of NC_000022.11, forward strand.
AAAAGTTTTTCACTTTGTTGGAGTCCAATTTATCATTTTTTTTTTCTGTTATGGATAATTTTTTTGTTGTCATGTCTAAGAACTTTGACTAACCCAAGATCACAAAAATGTTCTGCTGTGTTTTCTTCTAGAGATGTTATAGTTGCTGTACTTAAGTATATGTCTGTGATTCATTTTTAGCTCATTTTTCTGTATATTTTGAGATAACAATGTAAATTCATCCTTCTGCATTTTGATACCCAACTGTCTCAGAAGGATTTGTTGAAAAAACTATTTTCCTTATCAAATTGCTTTGACACTTTGTCAAAAATCAATTGACCATAAATGTAAGGGTTTATTTCTGGACTCTTGATATTGTCCCATTGATCTATGTCTAGCTTTTCACCAGTACCACATAGAGCTTTATAGTAAGGTTCGAATTTGGATTGTGTACATTTCCCCAACTGTTCTTCATCCAATTTTTTTTTGGCCCACCTCAGCCTCCCAAAGTGCTGGGATTTTAGGCGTGAGCCACTGTGTCCGGCCCATTCTTTTACTTTCAATCTAGCTATGTCATTACATTTACAATGAACTGCCTTTTACACAGTATATATTTGGATAATTTTTTTTTTTTTTTGAGACGGAGTCTCGCTCTGTTGCCCAGGATGGAATGCAGTGGCACCATCTTGGCTCACTGCAACCCAGGTTCACGCCATTCTCCTGCCTCAGCCTCCTGAGTAGCTGGGACTACAGGCGCCCGCCACCACACCCGGCTAATTTTTTGTATTTTTAGTAGAGATGGGGTTTCACCATGTTAGCCAGGATGGTCTCGATCTCCTGACCTCGTGATCCGCCCACCTCGGCCTCCCAAAGTGCTGGGATTACAGGTGTGAGCCACCACCTCCGGCCATATTTGGATAATTTTTTATCCAGTCATTCAGTATCTGTCTTTTAATTGGTATATTTAGACCACTTACATTTAAAGTAATTATTGATGTGGTCAGGCTCAAGTCTGCCAGTCTATTATGTGTTTTTTTGTTTTATCCCTCTGTTTATCATTATGTTTCTTTTTACTTGCCTTTGTGTGGATTATTTAAACATTTTTTAGAGTTCCAATTTGAGCTCTCCCTCTCCCTCTCCCTCTCCCTCTCCCTCTCCCTCTCTGTCTCCCTCTCTCTCCACGGTCTCCTTCCACGGTCTCCCTCTGATGCCGAGCCAAAGCTGGACGGTACTGCTGCCATCTCGGCTCACTGCAACCTCCCTGCCTGATTCTCCTGCCTCAGCCTGCGAGTGCCTGCGATTGCAGGCGCGCGCCGCCACGCCTGACTGGTTTTCGTTTTTTTTTTGGTGGAGACGGGGTTTTGCTGTGTTGGCCGGGCTGGTCTCCAGCTCCTAACCACCAGCCTCGGCCTCCCGAGGTGCCGGGATTGCAGACGGAGTCTCGTTCACTCAGTGCTCAATGGTGCCCAGGCTGGAGTGCAGTGGCGTGATCTCGGCTCGCTACAACCTCCACCTCCCAGCCGCCTGCCTTGGCCCCCCAAAGTGCCGAGATTGCAGCCTCTGCCCAGCCGCCACCCCGTCTGGGAAGTGAGGAGCGTCTCTGCCTGGCCCCCCATCGTCTGGGATATGAGGAGCCTCTCTGCCTGGCTGCCCAGTCTGGAAAGTGAGGAGCGTCTCTGCCCGGCCGCCATCCCATCTAGGAAGTGAGGAGCGCCTCTTCCCCGCCGCCATCCCATCTAGGAAGTGAGGAGCGTCTCTGCCCGGCCGCCCATCGTCTGAGATGTGGAGAGCACCTCTGCCCCGCCGCCCTGTCTGGGATGTGAGGAGCGCCTCTGCTGGGCCGCAACCCTGTCTGGGAGGTGAGGAGCGTCTCTGCCCGGCCGCCCCGTCTGAGAAGTGAGGAAACCCTCTGCCTGGCAACCGCCCCGTCTGAGAAGTGAGGAGCCCCTCCGTCCGGCAGCCACCCCGTCTGGGAAGTGAGGAGCGTCTCCGCCCGGCAGCCACCCCGTCCGGGAGGGAGGTGGGGGGGGGTCAGCCCCCCGCCCGGCCAGCCGCCCCGTCCGGGAGGTGAGGGGCTCCTCTGCCCGGCCGCCCCTACTGGGAAGTGAGGAGCCCCTCTGCCCGGCCAGCCGCCCCGTCCGGGAGGGGGGAGGGGGGGCCAGCCCCCTGCCCGGCCAGCCGCCCCGTCCGGGAGGGAGGTGGTGGGGGTCAGCCCCCCGCCCGGCCGGCCGCCCCGTCCGGGAGGTGAGGGGCGCCTCTGCCCGGCCGCCCCTACTGGGAAGTGAGGAGCCCCTCTGCCCGGCCAGCCGCCCCGTCCGGGAGGGAGGTGGGGGGGTCAGCCCCCCGCCCGGCCAGCCGCCCAGTCCGGGAGGGAGGTGGGGGGTCAGCCCCCCACTGGGCCAGCCGCCCCGTCCGGGAGGGAGGTGGGGGGATCAGCCCCCCGCCTGGCCAGCCGCCCCGTCCGGGAGGTGAGGGCGCCTCTGCCCGGCCGCCCCTACTGGGAAGTGAGGACCCCTCTGCCCGGCCAGCCGCCCCGTCCGGGAGGGAGGTGGGGGGGGTCAGCCCCCCGCCCGGCCAGCCGCCCCGTCCGGGAGGGAGGTGGGGGGGTCAGCCCCCCGCCCGGCCAGCCGCCCCATCCGGGAGGTGAGGGGCGCTTCTGCCCGGCCGCCCCTACTGGGAAGTGAGGAGCCCCTCTGCCCGGCCACGACCCCGTCTGGGAGGTGAGCCCAGCGGCTCACTGGGGATGGGCCATGATGACAATGGCGGTTTTGTGGAATAGAAAGGCGGGAAGGGTGGGGAAAAAATTGAGAAATCGGATGGTTGCCGGGTCTGTGTGGATAGAAGTAGACATGGGAGACTTTTCATTTTGTTCTGTACTAAGAAAAATTCTTCTGCCTTGGGATCCTGTTGATCTGTGACCTTATCCCCAACCCTGTGCTCTCTGAAACATGTGCTGTGTCCACTCAGGGTTAAATGGATTAAGGGCGGTGCAAGATGTGCTTTGTTAAACAGATGCTTGAAGGCAAAAAAAAAAAAAAAAAAAAAAGAGTTCCAATTTGATCTATTTCATTGGTGCAAAAGCAATGCTGGTTTTTGCCATTGGTTTTGGTTTTAATGTAATGCCGTTACATTAAAAGTAATGGCAAAAACTGGCCAGGTGGGGTGGCTCATGCCTGTAATCCCAGCACTTCGGGAGGCCAAGGCAGGTGGATCACTTGAGGTCAGGAGTTCGAGACCATCTTGGCCAAAATGATGAAACCCTGTCTCTACTAAAAATACAAAAAAGAAAAAAATCAGCTGGGCATGGTGGCACACACCTGTAGTCCCAGCTACTCGGGAGGCTGAGGCACAAGAATCACTTGAACCCAAGAGGCAGAGGTTGCAGTGAGCCAAGACTGCACCACTGCACTCCACCCTGGGAAACACAGCAAGACTCCATCTCAAAAAACAAAAAGTAATGGCAAAAACCACAATTACTTTTGCATCAACCTAATATTTATAATGTTTTTTGAGTGTATTGCATTGTATAGTTGCTTAGTGATTGTTCTAGGCATTACCATATATTTATATAATTCATCATAGCCTACTGGTATCAAAGTTCCAATCTGAGTGAAGTGTAGAAACCGTACTTCCCAATTAGGTCTCTTAATGCTCCCATTTTTTAAGTATAATTGCCTTAAGTATTTCCTCTACATACATTGTGCACCACATCAGAAGGGTATGATAGCTTTTGCTTCGGTGATAAAATATAATTAAAAATCACCAACTGGCCGGACGCGGTGGCTCACACCTGTAATCCCAGCACTTTGGGAGGCCGAGGGGGATGGATCACGAGGTCAGGAGATCGAGACCATCCTGGCCAACATGGTGAAACTCCATCTCTACTAAAAATACAAAAATTAGCTGGGCGCGGTGGTGCATGCCTGTAATCCCAGCTACTCGGGAGGCTGAGGCAGGAGAATCACTTGAACAAGGGAGTCAGAGGTTGCAGTGAGCCGAGATCACGCCACTGCACTCCAGCTTGATGACAGAGTGAGACTCCATCTCAAAAAAAAAAAAAAAAAAAATCATGAACTGAAGGATAGTTTACTTCTATTTTTACCCACTCCATTGTACTTTCCTTTTTAGAAGCCCTAACCTTCTTCTTAGTTTCTTTCTTATTGGAGAACTTCCTTTAGCCATTCCTTAATGCCAGGTCTTCTGTTAAAAAATTATCTTGGTTCTTATTTAACTGAGAATGATTTTATTTTTTTCCATTATTCCTGAAGGATAATTTCACTGGCTATAAAATTTGGGGCTGACTGTTCTTTTCTTTCAACACTTGGGAAATGCTGTACCATTTGCCTCCCGTCTCCATGGTTTCAGATGAGAAATCTACTGTCATTCAAATTAGTGTTCCTTTAGAGGCAATGTATCATTTCTCTCTGGCTGCTTTTAATATATTTCTTTGTCTTTGTTTTTTTTTTGTTTATTTGTTTGTTTTTTGTTTTTTTATAGACAGAGTCTCGCTCTGTCGCCAGGCTGGAGTACAGTGGCGTGATCTCGGCTCACTGCAACCTCCGCCTCCCGGGTTCAAGCAATTCTCCCTCAGCCTCCTGAGTAGCTGGGACTACAGGTGCACACCACCATGCCCAGCTAATTTTTGTATTTTTAGTAGAGATGGGGTTTCTCCATGTTGGTCAGGCTGCTCTCGAAATCCTGACCTCAGGTGATCCACCCGCCTCAGCCTCCCAAAGTGCTGGGATTACAGGCGTGAGCCACCACGCCCAGCCGGTCTTTGGTTTTCAAAAGTTTAATTATGATGTATCTTGATGTGGATTTCTTTGAGTTTATCCTATTTGAGGTTTATTCAGCTTTTTGTATGTATCTGTTTATGTCTCTTGCCAGACTGGGAAGTTTTCAACCACTATTACTTCGAATACTATTTTAGTTCCATGCTTTTTGTCCTCCATTCGGGCAATCCAACGATACAAACGTTATTTCCTTTGTTATTATCCAACAGATCCATAACGCTATTCAATTTTTTTTCAGTCTTTTTTACCCTCTGTTGTTTAGATTGACTAAATTCTATTGATCTGTCTTCAGGTTCACTAATGATATTCTCTGTCATCTCAGCTCCACTATTGTGTTTATCAAGCAAGGTTTTTATTTTGGTTATTGTATTTTTTTCAATCTATAAATTCTATCTGGCTCTTTTTTTTTTTTTTAAATAACATCTATTTCTTTGCTGATATTTTCTTTTTCTTTCTTTTTTTTGAGACAGTGTCTAGCTCTGTCATCCAGGCTGGAGTGCAGTGGCCCAATCTCAGCTCACTGCAGCCTCCACCTCCCAGGTTCAAGTGACTCTCCTGCCTCAGCCTCCTAAGTGGCTGAGATGACAGGCATGTGCCACCATGCCTGGCTTTTTTTAGTAGAGATGGGGTTTCACCATGTTGGCCAGGCTGGTCTTGAACTCCTGACCTCAGGTGATACACCCACCTCAGCCTCCCAAAGTGCTGAGATTACAGGCATGAGCCACCATGCCTGGCATGAGATTTTATACTTTTACATTTGTTTCAAGATAATTTATAATTACTATTGACCTTCGAACATGACTTTGAACTCTGTGGGTCCACTTAAACACAGTTTTTTTTTTTCAATAAAAGTTACACCAAATGTGCCTGCCTCACTTTTCTCCCCTTCCACCTCCTCTACCTCGTCTACCTCTGCCACCACTGAGATAGCAAGACCAACCCCCTCCTCTTCCTCAGCCTACTAAATATGACAATAAGGATGAAGACCTTTATGTTGATCCACTTCCATTTAATGAAGAGTAAATATATTTTCTCCTCCTTATGGTTTTCTTAATAACATTTTTTTTCTTTTGAGACAGAATCTTACTCTGTCGCCCAGGCTGGAGTGTACAGTGGCATGATCTCAGCTCACTGCAACCTCCGCTCCCTGGGTTCAAGTGATTCTTGTGCCTCAGCCTCCTGAGTACCTGGGACTACAGGTGCATGCCACTGCACCTGGCTAAGTTTTGTGGTTTTTTTTTAAATAGAGTCTCACTCTGTCGTCCAGGCTGGAGTGCAGTGGTGCAGTCTCAGCTCACTGCAGCCTCCACCTCCTGGATTCAAGTGATTCTCCTGCCTCAGGCCCCCAAGTAGCTGGGATTACAGGCGTGTGCCACCACGCCCAGCTAATTTTTGTATTTTTAGTAGCGATGGGATTTTGCTTTGTTGGCCAGGCTGGTCTTGAACTCCTGACCTCAAGTGATCCTCCCGCCTCGGCCTCCCAAAGTGCTGGGATTAGAAATGGGAGCCACCACACCTGGCCTGATTTTCTTAATAACATGTTCTTTCTCCAGCTTACTTTATTGTGCAAATACAGTATTATAATACATACACAAAATATGTGTTAACTGTTTATATTATTGGTAAGGCTGCTGGTCAATAATAGGCTATTAATAGTTAAGTTTTTGGGGAATCAAAAGTTATAGGTTGATTTTTGACTGCAGAATCAGTCAGCACCCCAACCTCCATGTTGTTCAAGAGTCAACTGTATTGTCGAAGCATTTTTATAATGGCTACTTTAAAAACTTTGTCCAATAATTCCTACGCATAATTCATCTTTATATTGGCATTTGTTGATTATCTTTTCTCATTCAGATTATAATTTCTCTTTTTCTTTTTATAATGGATTTTTTTTGTTGTTATTGTAGTCTGGACATCTTGGTTATGTTAGGAAACTCTTTTTTTATTTTTTTATAGACAAGGTTTGACCCGGATGGTTTTGAACTCCTGGCCTCAAGGGATGCTCCCACCTTGGCCTCCCAAAGTGCCGGGTTTACAGATCTGAGCCACTGCATCAGGCTGGGAAACTCTTGATCCTGTTGAAATCTTGTATTTTAGCAGACAGTCACTCTGTTTAGGTGTAAGTTCTGGCCTACTATTATGGGCTTTAGTTCTAATGACAGCCTAGTTTTCTGAGCCCTCGCAATGCTACCCTGATCTGCTTCATTCTTCTGGTGATGCTGAGGCTCCCGCTCAAGCCCTGTTGGTGCCATATGCAGGGGAAGAGGTGCTGTCCTGTGTCAGCTGCTGAGGACCTTCTGGTGGGGTGGGGACAGACAGAAGCCACTGGGCCTGGCTTTCCCTGTGCTACTGGGTGGAGAGCAAGGAAACAAGGGAATTTGCTGCTGTTGCCACTGCAGTTGGATGGGACCACATGTCAGTGCCTGGTTGTGGAATGGAGGCTGCCATGGCCCAAGCTTCACTGCTGCCAGCAAATCAGGTTGCCCAGGGGGCCCCAGCTGTGGAGTGGGGATCAACCCACTTTTTTTTTTGAGATGAAGTCTGGTTCCGTCGCCCAGGCTGGAATGCAGTGGTGCCATCTTGGCTCACTCCTTACAGGCATGAGTCACCTTGCCCGGCCTCAACTCCCTTTTACAAGTACATACATTAACTGGGCGCGGTGGTTCACACCTGCAATCCCAGCACTTTGGGAGGCCAAGGCGGGCAATCACCCGAGGTCAGGAGTTCGAGATCAGCCTGGCCAACATGGTGAAACCCCATCTCTACTAAAAATACAAAAATTAGCCGGGCATGGTGATGCACACCTGTAATCCCAGCTACTCAGGAGGCTGAGGCAGGAGAATCACTTGAACCCGGGAGGCGGAGGTTGTGGTGAGCCGAGATCATACCGCTGCACTCCAGACTGGGTGACAGAGCCAGACTCTGTCTCAAAACCGAACAAACAAACACATATTAGCAATTTAACTCATCCTAATAAATGATGGCCACAATGAAATTATGAGTTTGGAGGGTCAGTTTTAAATTTTCATCTAAGACACATGGAATGATTGATAGGAAAAAATGTTTATTCTTGAAAATCACTGTGTGAACATTCAAGACCACCTTGGGAAACCGGCCCTATAGGACAATGAAGCTTGGTATGCCCTGTCTGACAATGGCGTGAGTAGAAATAAACTCCCAAATGATCTAAGGCCATGTGGTGCTGAGAACACTCTAGAATGCGTTTTGGATGTGGTCACTTCACCATATTGCAAGCTGAGATGATAACTGGGTTAAAATTCTGAAAGCAGCCTAGGTACTCATTAGTGCAGCCTGTGGAAGCTGCATGTCTCACCTCAAGCAGCAGGCCAAATGCTCACATGCTTGCACACTTACCTGCTTATACGCTGACCCGCTTATGTGATCACCTGCTCACACACACGTCTTGCACACTTACCACTTATGTGATTGCCTGCTTACATGTATACTCATTTACAGAATTTCTGTCCAGGTGCGGTGGCTCACGCCTGTAATCCCAGCACTTTGGGAGGCCAAGGCGGGTGGATCACCTGAGGTCAGGAGTTCAAGACCAGCCTGGCCAACATGGAAAAACCCCCGTCTCAACTAAAAATACAAAAAGTAGCCAGGCATAGTGGCGGGCGCCTATAATCCCAGCTATTTGGGAGGCTGAGGCAGGAGAATTGCTTGATCCTGGGAGGCGGAGATTGCAGTGAGCCGAGATTGCACCATTGCACTCTAGCCTGGGCGACAGAGCAAGACTTCGTCTCAAGAAAAAAAAAAACACCAGAATTTCTGCCTACACAATTACATACCCCTGACCTGGTTGTATGCTTACTCACTTACATATTTATATATTCACCTGTTTGTACGTTTCCCTGCTTACTTGCTGCATGCTTACCTCCTTACATGTGTCCCTTTTACATCAGTCTCACATAGTAACACAATTACATGCTTACTTGTTTATCTGGTTATCCTGTTGCATGCTTGCTTAGTTCCTTACATAGTCACACACTTACTGTTTACACGTACTGACATAATCACACACTATATGATTACAAGTTTACACAATGACATGCTTACCCACTTATACAGCTCCAGATCTGCCAGGGCCCAACTGCAAAGACACCAATGGGGAAATGCAAGGGGGTTGGATTTCAGAGAAGGCAGGCTCCTAGTTAGCAATCAGGCCCACTCTCATCCCTGGCACCTGACTCACACCAGCCTTTTCTTGAAAGAGCCCCGTCTATTGGCCAGGCCCGGTGGCTCACGCCTGTAATCCCAGCACTTTGGGAGGCCGAGGCGGGCAGATCACGAGATCACGAGGTCAGGAGATCAAGACCATCCTGGCTAACATGGTGAAACCCCATCTCTACTAAAAATACAAAAAATTAGCTAGGCGTGGTGGCAGGTGCCTGTAGTCCCAGCTATTCAGGAGACTGAGGCAGCAGAATGGCGTGAACCCGGGAGCAGAGCTTGCAGTGAGCCGAGATTGCAGCACTGCACTCCAGCCTGGGTGACAGAGTGAGACTCCGTCTCAAAAAAAAAAAAGCCCCTGTCCACACCTCATATATATATATATATATTTTTTTTTTTTTTTTTGAGATGGAGTCTCGCTCTATCGCCCAGGCTGGAATGCAGTGGCGCAATCTCGGCTCACTGCAAGCTCCACCTCCCAGGTTCATGCCAGTCTCCTGCCTCAGCCTCCCGAGCAGCTGGGAGCCTGTAGGCACCCACCACCATGCCCGGCTAATATTTTGTATTTTTAGTAGAGATGGGGTTTCGCCGTGTTAGCCAGGATGGTCTCGATCTCCTGACCTCGTGATCCACCCACCTCAGCCTCCCAAAGTATTGGGATTACAGGCGTGAGCCACCGCACCCGGCCTTTTTTTTTTTTTTTTTTTTTTTACCTTTTTTTTTCTTTTTTCTTTTTTTGAGACGAGGCCTTGTTGTGTCGCCCAGGCTGGAGTTCAGCGGTGCAATCTTGGCTTACTGCAACCTCCGCCTCCCAGGTTCAAGCGATTCTCCTGCCTTAGCCTCCTGAGTAGCTGGGATTACAGGTGTGTGCCACCACCACACTCAGCTAATTTTTTTTTTTTTTTCTTTTTTTTGAGACAGAGTCTTGCTCTGTCACCCAGGCTGGAGTGCAGTGGCATGATCTCGGCTCACTGCAACCTCTGCCTCCCAGGTTTAAGCAATTCTGTGCCTCAGCCTCCCGAGTAGCTGGGATTACAGGCACATGCCACCACTCCTGGCTAATTTTTTAAATTTTTAGTAGGGATGGGATTTCACCATCTTGGCCTCAGGTGATCCACCCGCCTCGGCCTCCCAAAGTGCTGGGATTACAGGTATGAACCACCACACCCGGCCCTTCTGCCTTTATCTTCTGTCCCCAAGTTCTGGCACGCAAAAGAAAAAGACCCTCAGTGAATGCTTTTCAGGTGGAATAAGACTTGGCAAGACATTTCTACATCACTGAACACTAAACAAGTAGCTTAAAAGCCAATGAGCACTATTCTGAAAGTGAGGTCCCTCTATCTGCATTAGAATCATTACAGTGTTGGTTAAATACAGACTCCTGCAGGAGTTCGAGCCAGCCTGACCAATATGGCAAAACCCTGTCTCTACTAAAAATACAAAAATTAGCTGGGCGTGGTACCACACGCCTGTAATCCCAGCTACTCAGGAGGCTGAGGCAGGAGAATCACTTGAACCTGGGAAGCAGAGGTTGCAGTGAGTCGAGATCACGCCACTGCACTCCAGCCTGGGCAACAGAGCGAGGCTCCATCTCAAAAAAAAAAAACAAAACATACAAACTCCTGGGCCCTAGCACCACTGGGGATAGGACCTGAGAGTCAACAATCTAACAGCTTACTTAGAGTCACTTGCCTAGAGTCATGCGAGGCAATTTCTGCTGCTCCCTTTTCTCCATGTGATGGGTTCTTGTTCATCCTTCGAGGTGAACTCCAATATCACCTCCACCACAAAGCACTCCTTGACTGACCTCAGACAGAACTAATTGCCTTATCCTCTCTGGGCTCACAGGTGAACTATGTTATTCACATTTGTGTCCTTGGCACCTAGCCCAGGAGTTAGCACATAATAGATGCTTATGTTTAAAAATAAAATTCCAGGCCAAGTGTGGTGGGTCACACCTCTAATCCCAACACTTTGGGAGGTTGAGGTGGGAGGATCGCTAGAGCCTAGGAGTTTGAGACCAGCCTAAGCAACATAGTAAGACCCTGTTTCTACAAAAAAATAAAAAATTAGCCAGGTTTGGAGGCGTGAACCTGTAATCCCAACTACTCGGGAGGCTGAAGCAGGAGGATCACTTGAGCCTCGGAGGTTGAGGCTGCAGTGAGCTATGATGGTGCCACTGCAAGTCCTTGTCTCAAAAAATAAATAAATAAAAATAAATAAATAAAATTCAACCTCCCATCTCTGGTCCATGAAGCCCTCAGTTAATCTGATCCTCCCCTTCCTACCTTTCTTCCACACCGCCCAATTCACCTCTTCCTACTCTGCTTCTCGTTATCCATGCTCCTACCACAGTGGCCTTCATTCTGTTCCTTAAACTAGCCAAGCTACATCCAGCTTCTCAGGCTTTGCTGCCTGAAGAAAGTGAAGGGGCCCCCCAGTGACACCCTTTCTCATCATCCCATTTTATTTTTATCACATGTGTATCATTATCTAATAATTTCTTTTTTTTTTCCCCAATGTATTTATGTTCTGTTTCTCCTCAGGGAACATAGGCTGACTGATGAGACGAGAGATCTTTATGAGTCTAGCTCAGTGTTTCTTAAGCAGGTTTGATCTTTACCCCCAGGGGGCATTTGGCAGTGTCTGGAGACACTTCGGGCTGACACACCCGGGCACTGCTACTGGCATCTAGCGAGTAGAGACCAGAAATGCCACGAAACATCCTGCAATGCACAGAACACCACAAAGAATTATCCAGCCTTGAATAACAACAGTGCCACAGTGAAAGTAACCCTGGTCTAGATCGTCTCTGATGCCCCAGCGCCTGGACCGGCGCCTAGCAAATCGTACGTGGCTCAAGCTCAAACATTTTTGCTGCATGAACGAATGAAATGTTTGAATTACGTGTTGGATTTAATTTTAAAGCTGGAAAGGTCCTTAGAGAGCAATTAAACCACAAGTTTTTATATTCTGCTTCTGGAAGCCTCAGGCGATGGGGCAGAGTTTCAAGAATTCCGCTTGCCAGGAAGAATTTTTAGCTCAACGCTCAAGATGTAAACTTTAGGACTATGGTCTGTTTTATATATTGAGGTCCCAGCAAAATTGTCTGACAAGTTCTACCGCTTAAACAAACCGGACAAACTGTTGTTCCAGACCAGCCCCTTCATTGCACTGAGCTGAAAGGAAGCTCCCAGAGGAGTTGGGGGTTCCGCAATGTCACACAGAAAGCCAGGTTCAGGTCTCCTTGAGCGTCCAGCTGGCCTTGGTCACAGACTTGCCATGGCTCTGTGATTCACCAAAGACACAATTTAGGAGCAAGACAATGTGGTATAGCAGTTACTAGCCCAGCTTCAGAGCAAGACAGGGTGGGTTTTCATCCTGGATCTGCCTACAACCAGCTGTGTGGCCTTGGATGTTTACTAACCCTCTCTGAGCCTGTTTCCCCTGAGGATCTGTGAGATGGAGATAATAATAGTACCCTCTTCATAGGGTTGTGATGCAGATTTAAAAAGTTAGTTGGCCAGGTGCCATGGCTCACACCTGTAATCCTGGTGCTTTGGGAGGCTCAGACAGGAGGTTCACTGGAGCCCAGGAGTTGGAGGCTGCAGTGAGCCATGATCGTGTGACTGCACCCCAACCTGGGTGACACAAGACCCTGTCTCTAAAAATAATAATAATAATAAGACCAGGCGCAATGGCTCATGCCTGTAATCCTAACACTTTGGGAGGCCGAGGTGGGCAGATCACCTGAAGCCAGAAGTTCGAGACCAGCCTGGTCAACATGGTGAAACCCCATCTCTACTAAAAATACAAAATTAGCCAGGCGTGGTGGCACATTCCTCTAATCCCAGCTACTCGGGAGGCTGAGGCAGGAGAATTGCTTAGACCCAGGAGGTGAAGGTTGCAGTGAGCTGAGATCGTGCCACTGCACTCCAGCCTTAGTGACAGAGCGAGACTCTGTCTCAAAAATAATAATAATAATAAATTAAAATTAAAAAATAAAATTAGAGTATGTGAATAATGTTTGGAACAGTGTTGAGAGCATAGTAAGTGCTATATGTAGGGTGACAAATTCATCCCAATTTGCCTGGGTCCTTCCCGGTTTTAGCACAGAAAGTCCTGCATCCCAGGAAGCCCCTCAGTCACATAAAGCAGGACAGTTTGTCATTCTAGCTATATGTGTATGTTTGATGTGTGTTTTTTAAGAGATGGGATCTTGCTCTGTGGCCCAGGCTGGAGTACAGTGCCTCAGTCATAGCTTACTGTAGCCTCAAACTCCTGGGCTCAAGCAATCCTTCCACTTCAGCCTCCCAAGTAGCTGGGACTATAGGTACCATGCCCAGCTAGTTTTTTTAGAGAGAGATGAGGTCTCGCTATGTTGCCCAGGCTGGTCTCAAACCCCTGGCCTCAAGCGATCCTCCTGCCTCACCCTCCGAAAGTGCTGGAATGCTATGCGTTGAGCCACCACACCAGGCCTGATATTTTAAACAAAACTGTCTACATTACTGATCAGTAAATGTCTCTATTAATGTTCAGTTTGATTTTTCATTACTTGGTACTTTTCATGAAGGAAGGATTACTGACCAATTAATCACACAGATGAGAGAGCAGGGAATATCTTTAACCTACTTTCTAATAATGAAGTTGGTCATTTTCTATCCATTCGTGCAAGGAGACACACAGCACCTCTATTTGGAAAACACTTTCTTAGCAGTTGGTTTGTTACTAGATTGCCTCAAACAAGAGAACTCTTGTTTCTTTTTTCAAAAAGTCTACTTTTCAAACAGTTGCCAACTTCAGATGGAATTTTCCTCAGTAAGATTGAATCTTAGGCTTGAAAGAAGTTTAGAAAATGTCTAATCCAACCATGACATTTCCCAGATGGGACAAGTGAGGCCCAGAGAAGGCTACTAATTTTCCTGGAGTTACACAGCAGCAAAAGATGGTTCTAAGACTCAGGGCCAGGGTTTGAACTCCTGGGCCAGGGCTTTTTCAGGGGTTCTCAAACTGTGTTCCACACCCAATGGCAGGTTTCCTAGAGAAGTGGTTAGTGAGGGAACAAGAGGGAAGCTACATCACTGGGCAACCTCTACCCCTCCTCCTTCCATCCCGTAAGCTCCACTTTGACCATTTTGTACATTGACCTTCAACTTAAGGACCCTCTGCAACAGGGTTCATCTCTGGAAAAACTCTTTTTGAAAGCCACTCAGTTATATTGTAGGATTTACACATTTTCCTCCCTGGAAAACTTTTGTTCCCATGGAGAAAACTTAACTTTTTCTTTGAACCACATTCTCCCCCTCTCTAATGGATTTTTACATATTTGGAAAAACAGAGGCATGCATGGGCCTTTTACAAGCCAGCAGTTAAACTGAAAGGCTCGTTCACTTGCAGGAGAGCTGGGTGACTCAGGGCGTCAGTAACAACTGGCCCAGATGTGAAATCTCATGCTCATTGCTTAGAAAAATGTTTAGAAAAATGCTGCTGTTTGGGATCACCGGACGGAAGCTGCAGTGAGGGCCCAGGAGAGCCCCAAGGTCGACAGTTCCGAGGGAACAGGATGGAGGGGGGCGAAGGGTGGTGAGACCGTCCAGAACTCAAGGCTAAGCAGTGCAGGGGGCTGATGGTAAGATACGCCTTTCCCCCAGATGTCTCATTTTAAGCTGAAACAGACAAGATCCAAAGCCAGGAAAATATCCGGGATGGACCCCCAAAGTGGGAGAAAGACAAGAAACACAACAAAGCCAAGTGCGCAGCCTTTGTCCATAGGGATCCTGGGCTCTGCATGGAGTGAGTCTAGGCTTAAAGGAAGGGCCAGGAGGCAGAAGCTGATTCCCCAAAGCAGAAGGGTGAAAGCCTGGACTTGATACTTGATGGAACTGGATTTGAATCCCAATTCAGCAACTCACAAGCTGTGTAACCGTGGGCAAGTTATCCAACCTCTCTGAGCATCCTTTTCTCATTAGCAAAATGTAGACTGTCGTGATGCCTACCTTATAGGGTAGTGAAGGGTTAGAAAATAGAACAGTACTGCGCCTTACAGTGCACCTGTGCCAAGGAAATAGTTGTAGCCACTAATTATTTATTTATTTATTTATTTATTTTTCTTTTTTTTGAGACAGGGTCTCACTCTGTCACCCAGGCTAGAGCACAGTGGTGCCATCACAGCTCACTGCAGCTTCAAACTCCTGGGCTCAAATGATCCTCCCACCTCAGCCTCCTGAGTACCTAGGACAACAGGTGCACCACCATACCCCGCTAATTTTTATTTTTTGTAGAGATGGGAGGGGGTGGGTCTCACTATGTTGCCCAGGCTGGTCTTGAACTCATGGTCTCAAGCAATCTTCCCACTTCACCTCCCAGAGGGTTGAGATTACAAGTGTGATCTACCACGCCCAACCTTCTAGCCATTATTTATTAAGGACCTACTAGGTTCCTAACTGTGTTCACCTGAGCCTGAGTTCCTCCCCACAGGCCTGCTCAGCCTCTGTTTACCAGAGATTCTCCCTGATGCTGAGGGATGTTTAAAGTAGGGCTGACACAATTCTTATGTGGAGCCAAAATAGATTTGGGTCAGAGGACACCCTGGGACACTTGGTCTTTTGACATAGGTGGCTGTGTTTGGCCAGCTGCCAGCACACAGTAGGGGGCTCAAGAAATATGAATGAGTGACTCCATGGAATAAAAGTTAAAGACTGAATGTTGATGAATGTCTCCTTCCGGATGGTGAAAAAAAAAAAACTTCAAGAATTCTTGAACATAATGTTGAAATAAGCCAGATACAAGAGAATTTTCTATGTGGTGGCATTTGTATAAAGTTCTAGGACAGACAAGATGAATCTATGGTGAGAGGAGCCAGAACAGTGGTTGGCTAGGGGCTGGAAAGAACAGAAAAAGTTGTTCCTTGTCTGCCCAATATTTGTTCCCTGCTCTCTTGCCACTAGTGTAGCCACTTCATAAAGTTCTGGTCAAGGAGATGTACGTGGAACTGTTGGGTGACCGTTGGAGAAAGCCTCTTATAAGGGCTGGTTCATACTATTTGCCCCCTTGGTCTTATCTTCTTCCATCCTGCTCTCTGAATATAGATGTGATGGCTGGATCCCTGGCTGCTGCATTGGATCATGAGGACTAGGGCCATAGCCTAAGGTTGGAAGAGCTAGGAACTAGCTCCCTAACAACTCCATGAAGCTATCATACCAGCCCTGAACAGCTCACTGCTCAGCTCTGGACTTCCTTTATATGAGAGAGAGAAATGAATGTCTCTCTTGGGTGAGCCACTACATTAGGCTGGGTTTTGTTTTGTTTTTACATTATTATAAAGGAATAACTGAGACTGGGTAATTTATAAAGAAAAGAGGTTTAATCGGCTCACAGTTCTGCAGGCTGTACAGCATGGCACCAACATCTGCTTAGCTTCTGGTGAGGTCTCAGGAACTTACAATGATGGCAGAAAGCAAAGTGAGAGCAGGCATGCCACATGGCAAGAGAGTGAGCAAAAGAGATGGGGGAGGAAGTGCCACACACTTTTAAGCAAGCAGATCTCACATGAACTCATCACCAAGGGGTTGGGACTAAGCCATGCCAAACAGCACCTCCCACCAGGCCCCACCTCCAACACTGGGGATTACACTTTTTTTTTTTTTTTTTGAGATGGAGTCTCGCTCCGTGGCTCAGGCTGCAGTGCAGTGGCTTGATCTTGGCTCACCGCAACCTCTGCCTCCCGTGTTCAAGCAATTCTCCTGCCTCAGCCTCCTGAGTAGCTGGGATTACAGGCATGTGCCACCACACCTGGCTAATTTTTTTCTTTTTTTTTCTTTTTTTTTTTTTTTAGACGGAGTTTCGCTCTTGTTGCCCAGGCTGGGGTGCAATGGCACGATCTCGGCTTACCGCAACCTCCGCCTCCTGGGTTCAAGTGATTCTCCTGTCTCAGCCTCCCGAGTAGCTGGGATTACAGGTGTGTGCCACCATGCCTGGCTAATTTTGTGTGTGTGTGTGTGTGTGTGTGTGTGTGTGTGTGTTTTAGTAGAGATGAGGTTTCTCCATGTTGGCCAGGCTGGTTTCGAACTCCTGACCTCAGGTCATCCACCTGCCTCGGCCTTCCAAAGTGTTGAGATTACAGGCATGAGCCACTGCTCCCTGCACTTTTTTTTTCTTTTTTTGTATTTTTAATACAGACAGGGTTTCACCATGTTGGCCAGGATGGTCTTGAACTCCTGACCTCAAGGGGGAACTCCTGCCCCTCAAGGGGGAGACCCACCTCGGCCTCCCAAAGTACTGGGATTATAGGCGTGAGCCACCGCGCCCAGCCACTATTCCATTTATGTCAAATTTCTTGGTGGGGTGCGGTGGCTCACGCCTATAATCCCAGCACTTTCAGAGGCCAAGGCAGCGGATCACCTGAGGTCAAGAGTTCAAGGCCAGCCTGGCCAACATGGTGAAACTCTGTCTCTATTAAAAATACAAAAATTAGTCAGGCGTGATGGCGGGCACTGTAATCCCAGCTACTCAGGAGGCTGAGGCAGGAGAATCGCTTAAACCCAGGAGGCGGAAGCTGCAGTGAGCTGAGATCATGCCATTGCTCTCCAGCCTGGGTGGCAAGAGCTAAACTCCATCTCAAAAAAAAAAAAAAAGTCCAGAAAAGGCAAATCCATATAGACAGAAAGTAGATTGGGGTGCCTGGGGCTGGGGTGGGAGTGGGAATTGACTCGAAAATGGTCATTTGTTAGGGGGTTGGAAATGCTCTGAATGTCCTAAAACTCGATGGTGGTAGTGGTTGCACAACTTTATACACTTACTAAAAAAAATCACTGAACCATGTACTCACAATGAGTGAACTACATATTATATTAATGATGCCTCAGTGAAACAGTTTTTTTGTTGTTGTTGTTGTTGTTATTGTTTTTTGAGATGGGTTCTCACTCTCTCACCCAGGTGGTAATGCAGTGGCAGTATCTAGGCCCATTGCAACCTCCACTTCCCAGGCTCAATTGAACCTCCCACCTCAGCCTCCCGAGTAACTGGGACCACACGTGTGCGCCACCACACCCGGCTAATTTTTGTATTTTTTGCAGTGACAGGGTTTCACCATGTTGCCCAGGCTTGTCTGGAACTCCTGAGCTCAGGCGATCCACCCACCTAGGCCTCCCAAAGTGCTGGGATTACAAGCGTGAGCCTCTGTGCCCAGCCAAAACAGTTTTGTAAAAAGGAGATTGAGACTCTATGTGGTGGCTCACGCCTATAATCCCCGCACTTTGAGAGGCTGAGGCGGGCAGATCACTTGAGATCAGGAGTTTGAGACCAGCCTGGCCAACATGGTGAAACCCCCATCTCTACTAAAAAATACAAAAATTAGCTGGGCGTGGTGGCACCTGCCTGTAATCTTAGCTACTTGGGAGAGTGAGGCAGGAGAATCGCTTGAACCCAGGAGGTGGAGGGTGCAGTGAGCTGAGTCCGTGTCGCTGCACTCCAGCCTGCGTGACAAAGAAAGACTCCATCCCAGAAGAAAAAAAAAGTAAAAAAAGAGATTGATGTGGGAAAAAGAATAAGACGTTAAGTGAAAAAAAGTAGAATGCCAAACAAAATATACCGTAATTCCTTTTTATGTAAAAAATAAAAACCTCCATAGGAACATGAGTACATATATCAATAAATGCAGAGAAACCTGTCTTGAAAGCTCTACCCCATACTTTTGGGAAAGGGAGCAGGAAGGGGTGGCTGGAAAGGGGGACTTCTACTTTACCGTGTAAGTTAATTCTTTGGGTAATTTTTTTAATTTAAAAAAAAAAAATCAAGCCCGAAAAAAGAAAAAGAGGCTGGGTGCCGTGGCTCATGCCTGTAATCCCAATACTCTGGAGGCCAAGATGGACAGATCACTGGAGTCCAGGAGTTCAAGACCAGCCGGGACAACATGGTGAAACCTTGTCTCTTAAAAAATAATAATAATAAAATTAAGAAAAGAAAAAAATGCAAAAGATAGCAGTAGAGACTCCATCCCCCAGCACCTTCTTTTGTAATTATTGAGCCCACGGATTTAGGGAATTGGTATTTTTAAGAAGTAAAAACGTGTGGCTGCGTCTAGACTTAGGAAGTACTTACGGAATGATCTAGTCCAGTATATTTACTCTGCAGGTGAGGAGACTGAGGCCCAGGGAGGAACTGGAGCCTGTTCAACGCCAGAGCTCATTGGGCCTGGGCTGAAGTCCAGGTCTTAGATGAAGCTCCCAGCTCTGCCCCCGCACTGCACTCTGCACAAATTGTTTCGTGTCTCCAGGAAAGGGGAGTTTATAAATTTGGCCACATTTTGGAACAACAGAGCCATAAATGGACACGACCGAGGGAGGCTGGGAGGTACCTGACCTTTGAGGCTGGGGGCGGGGATGGGAAGAGAGGACAGGGCGGGCAGGCTCAGCCACAGCCCAGATTCCTGCATCCAGGGGAAAATAACATGGAGAAAGGAGCCAGTCCAGCGGGAGGCCGAAGTGGAGCTGGTGAATGTGGAGGGCCAGGCCAACCAGGTTCAAACACCAGCCTCCGCCCCCTCCCCCACCACCTACAGACTTTGGGCAAGTGCCTTCACCTCTCTGAGCCTCAGTGGTCACCAAACCTAGTGAATAGCAACGACATCTGGCAAGTGTGTGAAAATGGCAGATGGCCAGGCCCCGACTCCAACTTACGGTGAATCAGACTCTTCTAGGATGGGGTTTGGATACTCTGATGTAGCTAGAGAACTGGAGTTCAGGAATCAGTGACATTCAGGCACTTCAAACAGGCTTTGCAAATCATTATTATTTTATAATTATTATTATTTTTGAGACGGAGTCTTGCTCTGTCCCCCAGGCTGGAGTGAGGGGCACAATCTCGGCTCACTGCAACCTCCACCTCCCAGGTTCAAGTGATTCTCCTACCTCAGCCTCCCAAGTAGCTGGGACTACAGGGACACACCACCACGCCCAGCCAATTTTTGTATTTTTAGTAGAGACAGGGTTTCACTGTGTTGCCCAGGCTGGTCTTGAACTCCTGAACTCAGGTGATCCACCTGCCTCGACCTCCCAAAGTACTAAGATTACAGGTGTAAGCCACCGTGCGTGGCAGCCGGTTTTTTTTTTTGAAACAGGGTCTCGCTTTGTCACCCAGGCTGGAGTGCAGTGGCTCAATCACACCTCTTTACAGCCTCAACCTCCCAGGCTCAAGTGGTCATCCTGCCTCAGTCTCCCCAGTAGTTAGGACTACAGGCACGCACCACCATGCCTGGCTAATTTTTTTTTTTTTTAATTAGCGACTCCATCTCACTATGTTCTCCAGGCTGATCTTGAACTCCTGAGCTCAAGCGATCCTCCCGCCTCAGCCTCCCAAAATGTTAGGATTACAGGCATGAGTCACCACACCCAGCACCAAAATCATTATTTTGATTAGACTCTGTTCCCTATAGATGGAAATCCAGGCTTCATAGCCTGGCATTCGGGACGTCACAGCAACCTCTTAAACAGAGCCATAAACTTCATACACTACCTGACCATCCCTCATCCCTCAGTTCCTTCAACAAGCACATGGAGAGTGCCCTCTCTGCAGCCCCAGATAAAATCGGGTCTCTGCCCTCCCTGGGGGTTCTAAGTGGGAATAAATTAAATTCCACACCCCAAGGTTCTCTTGTTTTTCCAAACACTTTCTTGCTCACACCTCTGAACCCTACTTTAATGGGGGGAAACCCACCAACAATCTCCTCCCACCTAAAGCTTTCCTGGTTCTCTGCACCCCCGGCTGAATCCCCATTTACCATGGGGTCTACCCTTCTCATGAATGAATGAGTGAGTGAGTGAATGAACGAATCCCAACTAATTTGCCTCTGATCCCTAGCACTGTTTGTGGCCAATAATGTTTGTTGAAATACAATGGAATATGGATTTTCTAAGCCAGTTTTCATCTGAATGCAACAACCACTGAGAAACATTGCCAGTCAACCAACATTTATTGAGTAGCTACTACGTGCCTGGCACGTGGAAACAAAGCAGATCATTCCAGATATAGTAAGAGTTACAAGTGCTATGGGAGGGAGAGAGACTGAGAGGTGCTATTTCATATGGAATGGTCAGGGAAGCCCCTTGGAGGAGGTGGCATTTGAGCTGGAGACTTGAAGACTGAGACAGGCAGCCTGCAGAGCCCTAGAATGGTGACTTGATGTGGGTTTGAGCAGAGCTTTCTGACTTCTGGGTGGTGAATGGAGGTGGGGTGGGGGCAGTGGCCGGAGCCAAGTGACATGATGAACAGTGGTGTGGAGAAGTGGGGCCCAGCCACATGAAGAAAGACACCACAGGGGGGCTCTGCTGCTAGGGTGGGATCACTGGCCTTCTTCCAAGCTTTAGGCTATTTGATTCTCTGAGCTTTATCTGTGTTTTAAACACACACACAGAAGCAAGTAAAGAAAACAACCCCCCCTCCCCCGGCCCCAGAGCCTCAGAAGTTGGCTAAAGCCCACAGGGTTGTTTGTTTGTTTTGTAAAAAATATGTTTTCCACTGAATCTTCAGTTTTTTGTTTCAGCAGCTGGCATCCACCCAAGGGAACAAGTTAGCTGGGACAAACAGGGCTTCCGTCCCTCTGTCATTGTCCTCTGGATCACAGCTCGTGGCTGCTAAGAGGGTCATTTCCTGTGGCCGAGAGGCAGGGCTGAGAAGGTGAAGTGTGGGGGCCAGGCCTTCCCACGGATGCAGCTGGGTCAGCTGCATTTCCCCAGAGGACACTGCTCCAGGGGAGGGGGTGGGGCAGGAGAAAGGCAGCCCCTGAGGTCAGGCTTGCAGCTCTGGCCCAGCAGTTCAATATTAAATCAGTTACTTGAGGTTTCACAACACCAAGGAGCAAGGCTCCCAGGCTAGTCCTCAAGAAGAGCCTATTGCACTGATGTTGGAAAGTCATTTGTTTTGTTTGTTTGTTTGTTTGTTTGTTTTGAGACAGAGTCTCCCTCTGTCGCCCAAGCTGGAGTACAGTTGCACGATCTCGGCTCGCTGTGTGATCACTTGAACCCCCTCTGCCTCCCGTTTCATGCGATTCTCATAGCCTTAGCCTCCCAAGTAGCTGGAATTACAGGTTTGCACTACCATGCCCAGCTAAATTTTTGTACTTTTAGTAGAGACAGGGTTTCGCCATGTTGGCCAGGCCGATCCTGAACTCCCAGTTTAGGTGATCTCCCCGTCTCGGCCTCCCAAAGTGCTGGGATTACAGGTGTGAGCCACAGCACCTGACCTGGAAAGTCATTTGTGTAGGATGAGAGGTACCCAGCCCATACACAAGATGGTCGGGGCACATGATTTGAAAACCCATCAAATTCAGGCCACATGACCTGAGAATGAGGTGAGACTGAGCTGTGTCTGGAAGACAGAAAAGCCCTTCTGCCACTATAGACCAGAGCAGGGGGCTCCAGGCATGGGAACCACTGAATTCCATGTCTCTGCAAGCCACATGTATGCCCAAATTCTGTTGAATTTCTAGGCTCAGCCCCTCCTGGTTATAATCTGGTTTCTCAAACTGGCTCTCTGTCCCCAGAAAGAGGAAGAAGGGTGCCAGGGCAGTGTCCAGCCCATATCCATCTAACTCCTCACACACTGATATGGTTTGGCTGTGTCCCCGCCCAAATCTCAACTTGAATTGTATCTCCCAGAATTCCCATGTGTTGTGGGAGGGACCCAGGGGGAGGTAATTGAATCATGGGGGCCGGTCTTTCCCATGCTATTCTCGTGATAGTGAATAAGTCTCATGAGATCTGATGGGTTTATCAGGGGTTTCTGCTTTTGCTTCTTCCTCATCCCTCTTGCCGCCACCATGTATGAAGTGCCTTTTGCCTTCCGCCATGATTGTGAGGCCTCCCCAGCCATGTGGAACTGTAAGTCCAATTAAACCTCTTTTTATTCCCAGTCTTGGTATGTCTTTATCAGCAGCGTGAAAACAGACTAATACACACACCTATGAGTTTTACATCAAGATCATGTGCCTTCCTCTCAGGCCATTCAGCTTTGTTCATAACCTCCAGTCACCATGGCCCACTTCAGACTCCTCCTTCCTGCTTCAGGGCCTTTGCCCATGACTTCCTCTGCTGGATCTCAAGTCAAAGTGCTCAAGACACCCTAAACTTTTCCTCTCAGAGCTAACTCCCAACTGACAATAGTGATTTGTGTAGTCATTCACATGATGTTTTCTTCCTCCAAAGCACCATTGAAGACATTCCAAAAAGCGAGACAGGCACAGTGGCTCACACTTATAATCACAGCTATTTGGAAGGCCAAGGCAGGAGGATTGCTGGAGCACAGGAGTTCGAGACCAGCCTAAGAAACATAGTGGGACCTTGTCTCTACAAAAAAAATAAAGAATAAAAAAATTAGCCAGGTGTGGTGGTGTATACCTGTTGTCCTAGCTACTCAAGAGGCTGAGGCTGGAGGATTGCTTGAACCTGGGATGATCACTTGAGCCCAGGAGGTGAAGGCTGCAGTGAGCCATGATCACGCCACTGCACTCCAGCCTGGGTAACAGAGTGGGACCCTGTCTCCAAAAAAGTTAAAAAGAGAGAAAAAGCGAAAGGAAGTGAGTGGTTGGTATTTATGGACCAAGTCTGAAAACAGCACATGTCCCTTCTGCTCACATTTCATTGGCTGGAATCAGTCACATGGCTCCCCTAACAGCAAGGGAGGCTGGGAAATGTGGTCTAGTACAGTGTTGAAGAGGACGATGTGGACCACAGTGGGGTAAGGTGATTCCTCAAAATGAGAAGAAAGGGGTGATGGGGGCCTGAACAGGCAAAAGGCCCACTATGCACTCCACACGGCCTCCATAACCCCACCCAGGGAGGGGAAGGCATGTCTCCTGGGCCTCCTTCTGCCTTTTCCTGTGGATGGAAAACTCATTAGTGGTCAGCCTCTGGAGCAGATACCGCCCAGAGGCCCCTGATGATACCTCTACCCATCAAAGGCTTCTTACTGTGAATGTAACTGCTTGACTGTGTTGTTCTGACCTCAGGAGCACACTTGGGCCTGTCCTCTGGCAAGCGGGAAGGCTGAGTTCCAGAAGCATCCCTCAACCAGTGAAGAATGAGAAGTTGGTGGCTAGATACTCCAGCTGCCTCTTGCTCCTTGGTTGGGATGACTGTCTCTGAGCTTTCCCTAGTGGGGTTGAACTCCAGTTGCCTATCGAAGTGTGCTTTCAATTCATTTATTGAATTTATTGGCTGCTTTCCTTTCCCCATCTCACCTCCCCACTCCCCTGCAGGGGATTCCCTGGGATCACCTCCCAGACAGATTACTTGAACTTAAATACTTCTCTTAAGACCTGCTTCTGGGAGGACCCAAACAAAGGCAGCTCCACAAGGGCAGGGACAAGGGACGGTGATGTGGACTCTTCTCCCCTACCTCCTGTCTTGTGCTTCATGCACATGCAATCGTTCTTTTTTTTTTTTTTTTTTTTTTGAGACAGGGTCTCGCTCTGTTGTCCAGGCTGGAGTGCAGTGGTGTGATCTCGGCTCACTGAAGCCTCAACTTCCTGGGCTAAAGCAATCCTCCCATCTCGGCCTTTCAAGTACCTGGGACTACAGGCGTGTGCCACCATACCTGGCTAATTTTTTGTAGAGATGGGGTCTCACTGTGTTGCCCACACTGGTCTCAAACTCCTGGGCTCAAGCGATCAGCCCACCTTGGCCTTCCAAAATACTGAGGTCACAGGTGAGAGCCACTGTGCCTTGCCAATCATTCTTTTTATTACTGTTTATAAACACACAAAATACATGTCGATGGGTTGGTCATCTTGGCTAGAACTGCTGCAGACTTACCAGGGAGAGGACCTCACGCACTTGGGGAAAAAAAGCCTTGGGGGATTTATCTACTCATCCTGTTTCTTTCCCACACACAGGAAATCCTGGGCAGGCAGAGCTTCCTGACCCAGGGGGAGCTGGTAGCAGCACTGGGTCAAGAATCGCCTCCTCCTGAAAGGAAATGTTTGGGTGGTCCAAGGGAATCCACACTGCCTTCCTCACAGCCTGGAGAAAGGGAAAGTTCAAAGTTCTGGATTCTAATCTCCACTCTGCCACTGGTCTCCTGTACTATTCTAGGCTGTGCCTTCCCCACCCTTGGGCCTTAGATTCCCATCTGTGAAGTACAGAGATAACAGAATAAATGTGCTGTAGGGTATCTTAGAATTGCTACATTCTGACTTTGTGCAATGGCTCATGCCTGTAATCCCAGCATTTTGGGAGGCTGGGATTACTATCTCAGACTTTCTGTGGGTCAGGTATTGGGAATGGCTTAATTAGGTAGTTCTGGCTCAGAATCTCTGAGTTGATTTCTGCCCAGGTTTTTTTGTTTTTTGGGGTTTTGTTTTGTTTTGTTTTTTTGAGACAGGGGCCTGCTCTGTCTCCACGATCTCCGCTTGGTACAACCTCCACCTCCCAGGTTTAAGTGATTCTCCTGCCTCAGCCTCCGGAGTAGCTGCGACTACAGGTGTGCGCCACCACACCCAGCTAATTTTTGTATTTTTAGTAGAGATGAGGTTTCACCATGTTGGCCAGGCTGGTTTCAAACTCCAGACCTCAGGTGATCCGCCTGCCTCGGCCTCCCAAAGTGCTGGGATTACAGGCGTGAGCCACTGTGCCTAGCCTGTGCCCAGGTTTTAATTTATAAAGGTGACTAAGTGACAACACAGAGAGGTCAATGCCATTGAAAGAAAAGTTTTACGTGACTTACAGTTCCCTAAAAATCAGAGGTATAGCATGCCAGGCGGGGCCACAGGGAGAAGCACTAGCGTCAGTCAGTCGAGAGGCAGAAAGGAGTAAGGAGAAGGCATAGCCACAGGTTTATTTTGTTTTCCACAGGAAGGCAAGGCAGGGTGTGGTAAACAGTTTAGGACTGCCTAGTTCGAATCATTCCAGAGAGCTTTGGGGAATAGGGGCTGTTCCTAGTTGCCCGGTACCTGGCCCTAGATTGATTTAGGGCAGGGTGTATGAGAATTGGATAAAGGAGGCTGAGGATATGGACTTGAAATTCACTGGTTTGTGTATAAAAGGTGGGCTCACTGACAAGTTGTTCACTGTCTCTAGAAATTACCTAGCCCTAAAAGCAGAAGTCTCTTTCCAGCCGGCAAGCCCTCCCTTAAATATGTCAAAAACAACATAAAATATGAGAAAATGTCCAGTTTGACATAGATTTAATATAAACAATGGTGCATTAATACACCCCAAAAGGAGTCCCAGATGGGCTATTTTTATCCCTTAAAACATATACACACACACATGGAAACACACAAACTCCAAGAAAATGAAAAATGGTGGGGGGCAGTGGCTCACACCTCTAATCCCAGCACTCTGGGAGGTCAAGGCAGGAAGATCACTTGAGCCTGGGAGTTCAAGACCAGTCTGGACAACATAAGGAGACCCCCATCTCTACAAAAAAATTTTTAGGCCATGTGCAGTGGCTCACGCCTGTAATCCCAGCACTTTGGGAGGCCAAGGCGGGTGGATCACGAGGTCAGAAGATCAAGACCATCCTGGCCAACATGGTGAAACACTGTCTCTACTAAAAATACAAAAATTAGCTGGGTGTGGTGGCACACGCCTGTAGTCCCAGCAACTTGGGAGGCTGAGGCACGAGAATTGCTTGAACCTGGGAGGCAGAGGTTGCAGTGAGCCGAAATCACGCCACTGGCAACACAGCGAGACTCTGTCTCAAAAAAAAAAAAAAAAATTATCGGGCATGGTGGCGGGTGCCTGTAATCCCAGCTACTTAGGAGGCTGAGGCAGGAGAATTGCTTGGACCCAGAGGTGGAGATTGTAATGAGCTGAGACCATGCCACTGGCACAAGTCTGGGTGACAAGAGCGAAAACACGGCCTCAAAAAAAAAAAGAAAAATGTTTTTAAATTAGCCAGGCATGAGGGTGGGTGCTCACGCCTGTAATCCCAGCACTTTGGGAGGCTGAGGCGGGCAGATCACCTGAGGTTGGGAGTTCGAAACCAGCCTGGCCAACATGGCGAAACCCCATTTCTACTAAAAATACAAAAATTAGCCAGGCCTAATGGTGTATGTCTGTAATTCCAGCTACTTGGGAGGCTGAGGCACAAGAATCACCTAAACCCGGGAGGTGGAGGTTGCAGTGAGCCGAGACTGTGCTACTGCACTGCAAACTGGGTAACAGAGCGAGACTCTGTCTCAAAAAAAAAAAAAAAAAAAAAATTAGCCAGGCATGGAGGTGCATGCCTATAGTCCCAGCTACGCAGGAGGCTGACAGGAGGATCACTTGAGCCCCAGAGTTCCAGGCTGCAGTGAACCATGATCATGCTACTGCACTCCAGGCTGGGCAACAGACCAAGACCCTGTCTCTTTAAAAAAAAAAAAAAAAAAAAAAAAAAAAAGAAGCTGTGCACGGTGGCTCACGCCTGTAATCCCAACACTTTGGGAGGCTGAGGCAGGCAGATCACAAGGTCAGGAGTTCGAGACCAGCCTGACCAACATGGTGAAACCCCATCTCTACTAAAAATACAAAAATTAGCTGGGCATGGTTGAGCGTGCCGGTAATCCCAGCTACTTGGGAGGCTGAGGCAGGAGAATCGCCTGAACCCGGGAGGCAGAGGTTGCAGTGAGCCAAGATTGTGTCACTGCACTCCAGCCTAGGCAACAGAGTGAGACTCCATCTCAAAAAAAAAACAAAAGAAAAAGAAAAAGAAAGAAAGAGAAAGAAAGAAAGAGAGGAAGAAAGAAAGGGAAGGAAGGAAGGAAGGGAGGGAGGGAAAGAAAGAGAAAGAAAGAGGAAAGAAAGAAGAAAGAAAGAGAAGGAGAGGAAGAAAGAAAAAAAGAGAAAGAAAAAAGAAAGAAAAAGAAGAAAGAAAATGAAAAATATGATTAATACAGGCATATCTCTGGTTTATGCTGTTGTCAGAATGTTGGCCCACACTGCAGTCATTCAAAGGCTTGACTGGGTCTGGAGCCACTTTTAAGGTTGCTCACTCACATGCCTGGCAAGCTGGGGCTAGCTGTTGATGGGAGGACTTAGGTTCTCCCCATGCAGGCCTCTCCATAGGGCTACTGGGTGTCCTCACAACATGGCAGCAGGCTTCCGCTAGAATGAGTAATTTAAGAGAGCAAGGCAGAAGCAACAATGGTTTTTATGAGCTGCCCTCAGAAATCACTCTTTGAAATGAATCACTAAGTCCAGCCTACTTTCAAGGGGAAGGGATGAGTCTCCACCTTCTGAAAGGAGAGATGTCAAGGAACTTGCAGGCATATCTTAAAACCATCAGATCTGCTGGGCCCAGTGGCTCATGCCTGTAATCCTAGCACTTTGAGAGGCCAAGGCAGGGGGATTACTTGAGGCTAGGAATTTGAGACCAGCCTGGGCAACATAGTGAGATCCCATCTCTACAAATTTTTTAAAAAATTAGCCAGGTGTGGTGACATGCACCTGTTGTCTCAGCTACTGGGGAGGCTGAGATGGGAGGATCTCAGCCACAAGTTCAAGGCTGCCATGAGCTATGATCACGTCACTGCACTCCAGCCTGGGCAACAGAGTGAGACCCTGTCTCTAAAAAAAATAATAATAATAATAACCATCAGATCATTTCTCACTACAAGGGAGTCAGGGAAAACAACAGAGAACAGGATTGTCATGACTAGCCTAGACCAATCACAGTTCGCCAACTGGGACACACTGCCACCACAGACAGAAATCAGGGCTCAGTTATCAAGGAAGTAGAAGGAAGGTTAATGGGGAGGCAGTCAAGAGTATCTGCCACAGCCAGGATGATGCAGGAGGAAGAAAATAGGGTTGCTCGATAAATGTATATCCTGATATTCCGTGGGACATAAACTAAAACGTTGTTTATCTGAACTCAAATTCAACTGGGTGTCCTACATTTATATTGGCTCAATTTAGTATCCCTAAGTGAGAAACAAGCTTCAGTGGCCATCGCAGGAAGTCAGCAAGGACTGGGACTTCTTTGGAAAGAGAAACAAAAGAAGACCTGGGGTGATCTGCGGGGGAGAGGCAAGTCGTTGGGACAGAAAAAGAGGAGGTGGCCAGGCACAGTTGCTCAGGCCTGTAATCCCAACACTTTGGGAGGCCGAGATGGGCAGATCACTTGAGTCCAGGAGTTCGAGACCAGCCTGGGCAATGTGGCAAAACCCTGTCTGAACTAAAACCACAAAAACTAGCTGAGTGTGATGGCACATGCCTATAGTCCCAGCTACTCTGGAGGCTGAGGTGGGAGCATCACCTGAGCCTGGGAGGTCAAGGCTGCAGTGGGCTGTGATCACAGCACTGCACTCCAGCCTGAGCAACAGAGCAATACCCTGTCTCAAAAAAAGAAAGACAGGAGATTGGGGAGGCTGAGGTCTCTTGTTTTATTATTCACTGCTGCCACCCCAACACCACATGTGGAAGCCACCACCACCACCACCACAAAAAAAGGTATCCACAGTTTTTTTCTTTTGAGACTGTCTTGCTCTGTCACCCAGGCTGGAGTGCAGTGGCGCCATCTCGGCTCACGGCAACCTCTACCTCCAGAGTTCAAGCAATTCCCCTGCCTCAGCCTCCTGAGTAGCTGGGATTACAGGGGCCCGCCACCACATCCAGCTAATTTTTGTATTTTTAATAGAGATGGGGTTTCACCATGTTGGCCAGGCTGCCAGGCTGGTCTCAAACTCCTGACCTCAAGTGATCCGCCTGCCTCAGCCTCCCAAAGAGCTGGGATTACTCGTGTGAGCCACTGTGCTTGGCCCCACCGCCCCACATTTTTTTTTTTTTTTTTTTTTGGAGATGGGATCTCACTCTGTCTCCCAGGCTGGAGTGCAATAACCAATCACAGCTCACTGCAGCGTCAACCTCGCAAACTCAGGTGATCTTCCTACCTCAGCCTCCTGAGTAGCCGGGACCATGGGCACGCACTACCATGCCCAGCTAATGTTTACAAAATTTTTGTAGAGACGGGGTCTCCCTATGTTGCCCAAGCTGGTATGTTCACTCTTCATCTCAAAACATAGCCAGGAAGCTCTAGCCAGGAGCACTTCTCTTTCCAACACCCTGAAAAACAGCTCATAAAGCTGAAATGGGGGCTGAGGGGCGTGCCACAAGATACATCCCAGGGGTATGGGAACTGGGAGCCTCACTGCGTGACCTCAGGCAAGGCCCTCCCCTCTCTGGGCCTCCTTTTCCTTGGCTGTATAATGAGGGATTGATCTAAATTGTCTCCCAGGGCCCTTTTACTTGGACCATGTGTCTCCCTCCCAAAAGGAAAAACTAGAGGGAACCAAAAGATGTGGGTGGTTTCCCTTGTTCCATCTCCAAGCCCCAAATTTGGATGAAAATGTCCAGTGTGACATAGATTTAATATAAACACTCGTGCATTAACACTCACAAATACCCCAAAAGGAGTCCCAGATGGGCTATTTTTATCCCTTAAAACACACACACACAGAAACACACAACACTCCAATCCCCATCACCCGCACTTGGTCAGTATCTCCAGTTGGTTTTTACGAGAAGAGAGAGTTCCAGTTAAAGGGAGCTAATTAAACAGCTTTGACTTGGGGCGGGAAAGAGGCTGTCGAAAGCCTCCTCGCTGGGCATGATGTCACCACAATTGTGCGTTTCTCATGACCCAAGAATGTGAATGTGTTTGCACTGCACGTCGGAGCCAGAGCCGGTGATGCAAGCACAGCCTGGTAAACAGGCCCCAGACAGGCAGGCCCTGTGAGGAGCCGTGGTGCAGAGGCCTGGCAGGGGCCCAGCTAGTGTTTAACTCCTTCCTGGCAGAACTGGCTGCTGGGCCGCTAAGGTTTGGTCAAGGAGCCTTCTCCACCCGTCCCTGCTTCTCTCTGAGGCACAGTCCCTGTTAGTGGCAAGCCGTCAATCTGGAGCCACAGTAGACCTGCATTCCCACCCACCTGCAGGTTTTGCTCGCTCAGGAGCCTTGGGTAGGTGACTCTCTGGTCCCGAGTCTCAGTTTTCTTATCTGTACAATGGGAAGAGGAATCAGGCCCTCAATCTCATACCTACAGCTCCAAGTTCAGAAAATTCAGACAGCCAGAGGCTTTTCTGCACACTTAGTGAAAACTCATTCAGGAGCAATATCTGACCTGGATTGACTGAGGGTGTGCAATCTGTTCATTTCACTTAGAGTCAATACTCACACTTCTAGCTACAGAAATATTCGTATGTTTCATTGGAGATGGATGGATCCAGACCCCACTGGATTACCTTTTAAAATCTAAAAAAATCCTGAATTCTGAGGCTGGGAGCAGTGGCTCATGCCTGTAATCCCAGCACTTTGGGAGGCCGAGGCGGGAGGATCACTTGAGCCCAGGAGTTTGAGGTTGCAGTGAGCCATGACTGTGCCACTGCACTCCAGCCTGAATAACAGACCGAGACCCTGGCTGAAAAAAACAAAAATGAATTCTGAAACCTATCCAGCCACAAGTGTGTTGATCAGGTCTTATGGGCCTGAGGCACCTGCCTCTAGCCTGTTGGGAAACTTACTGAGCGACTGCCTTCTGCTAGAATGTCAGCCCCCAAGGACAGGGCTTAACTCTGTCCCCGATGTGTCTGCAGCAGCCAGTGCAGTACCTGGCATGTAGCAAGCACCCAAACAATAGTTCTTGAATCTTTAGCTGAAGTTATTCATCCCCCATACATGCCATGGTGGTGAATATGGGAAACTGAGGCCCAAGCCTCTGAGCTGGTCTGCCCTAGATCTTTTCCCACAGATGATGTTCTGACTTTCCCCCCAAAAAGGTAGCTGTTCACCTTTCTCTGCCAGCAGCTCACAAACAGCTTGATGACCCCCCTCCAACATTCCAGGGCAGCTGGCTGGTTTTGCGGGCACCAAAGAGTTTTCTTTGGCTAAAGGTTCAGCCGATTAAAAAAGGGGGCCCCCATGCATTAAAGCTGGGGGTGGGGAACGGGCAGTCACAGAGTAGAGTAGGGGCTGAAGGTGTCATTAAAGCTCGGGTCGGGGGAGTGGAAATGGAATCTGCTAGCTGGCCTGAGACTAAAAGCCAGATCCCTGGATCCTTCCAGAGGACTATGAATGTGCTAGTCAGGCTCTGCCTTAATCCTAAAGCTGGAGAATTATCCAGACCCATGAAGAGCTGCCAGGAAGAAAAAATTCCTCCCCAGTGTGGTCTGCCCTACCCCCACCTTCCATGGTGCCCTGAGAAACTCCCTTTTCCTCTCTTGGCTTCAACATAATGGAGTTGGAGAATCCAAGACAGTGGATCAGAGCTCCTGAGATCATGGACTTAGACTCAGGTTCAGGCCCAGACTCTTCCTCTTGCTGGGCAAGGAGCTAGGGCAAGTCAATTTCAAGCCTTAGTTATCACATCTGTAAAATGGCACTAAGTTAGAGGGATATTGTCCAGATGACTGTGTCTGGTACATAGTAGCAATAAAAAAGACATTAGCTGGCCAGGCATGGTGGCTCACGCCTGTAATCCTAACAATTTGGGAGGCCAAGGAGGGCGGATCACTTGAGGCCAGGAGTTGGAGACCAGCCTGGCCAACACAGTGAAACCCTGTCTCTACTAAAAATACAAAAATTAGCTGGGCATAGTGGCTTGTGCCTGTAATCCCAGCTACATGGGAGGCTGAGGCAGGAGAATTGCTTGAACCTGGGAAGTGGAGGTTGAAGTGAGCCGAGATCAGGCCATTGCACTCCAGCCTGGGTGACAGAGCGAGATTCTGTCTCAAAAAAAGAGAAACATTAGCTAATATTACCCTCAGCATGGATACTCCTACCAGTCTGATGTTCTGTTTTAGGTACTTCGTACCATCATAACCTCATTGTTGGAGCACTCACTATGTTCCAGGTACTACGCTAAGTGCTTCACAAGCATTCTTTCATTTCATCCTCCCAACATCTCTCAAATAGGTACTAGCACTGTCCTCACTATTCAGGGGAGAAGTCTGCGGTTCAGAGGGGTGAAGTGATTCCTCTAAGACTGCATAACTTGTAAGTGGCAGAGCTAGGACCTGTCAGACTCTAAGCGCTTCATACCACACCTACAGGAAATATCTAGCAGCCAGTTCCATGCTCAGTTTCTTGAAGCATGAGATTCCAGGCCCCTAATATGGCATGTGACTGTGGGCAGTACAGAGGCCTCAATTCTCCCATCTGAACCATGGGGAAGGTCCCCCCGCCCTGAATCCCCTACAGGGCTGAGAGGAGGGCTCTGGAAACCTTGAAAAGGACTTTGTAGACTCTGAGCTGGGCACCCTCAAAGGCTTGGTTAGGAGGGAGACAAGAGAAAGAATTAATCCACTTCCCACCAAGGAAGCCAAGAGCTGAAGGAGAAATGGTCCGTGTCCTCCTCCAGGGCCTGCCCCTCAGCATGGTTCCTCCCTTTGTTAGGAGGGTTAAGAACTTGGCCAAGTCTCAGCTCCACTCATCTCTGGCTGTATGTTCTTTGTACTTCCCCTCTCTGAGTGTCGGGCTTCTCAACTGTGAAATGGGGGTGATAATGATAACAGCCTTACCAGGACTGTAGTAAGGACAAGCCTTGGCCCATTGGTTCATTGTCTTAGTCTGCTCCTGTTGTTATAACAAAATACCTCAGACTCAGTAATATATAAACAACAGAAATATGTTGCTCATAGTTCTAGAGGCTGAGAAATCCAAGAACAAGGTGTCAGTAGATTGGGTGTCAATGAGGGCCTGTTCCTCATAGATGACGTCTTCTATGTCTTTACATGGTAGAAGGGGTGAACAAACTCCCTCAGGCTTCTTTTATAAGGGCACTAATCCCATTTATAAGGATGGAGCTTCATGAAGTGATCGCCCCCAAAAGTCCCACCTCTTAATACTACCACATTGCAGATTACGTTTCAATATATAAATTGGAGGAGACACATTGAGACACATGGATATTGGTTGAATAATTATCTTTCTTTTTTCTTTTTTTTTTTTTGAGACAGAGTCTTACTCTGTTGCCTAGACTGGAGTGCAATGGCACGATCTTGGCTCACTGCAACCTCTACCTCCTGGATTCAAGTGATTCCTCTGTCTCAGCCTCCCAAGTGGCTGGGATTACAGATGCATGCCACCATGCCTGGCTAATTTTTGCATTACTAGTAGAGGCAGGGTTTCACCATGTTGGCCAGGCTGGTCTCAAACTCCTGACCTCAAGTGATCCGCCCACCTCGGCCTCCCAAAGAGCTGGGATTACAGGCGTGAGCCACCATGCCTGCCCTGAATAATTATCTTTTGACACCTGGTCTGCAATTCTCATGGAGTTTCCGGTCTGGAAGAAGAGTCTGTATGTAATGTGTTTGGCACAGGTAGGTGCCCAATGGGTGGGTAGATGGATGGATGGATGGATGGGTGGATGGATGAGATGAGTGACTTACTGCAGGTCTCACAGTTATAAAGTAACTCTTCCTGATAGCTCACACTGGCCACCAAAGACACATTAAGCACTGATTAGAGAGGTACTCCATGGACCAAATTACTTGAGCAAAGTCTTAGAATTAGGAATTATTGCAGCATGGATAAGAGGCATTCATTTTATGTTCTCTTTTAGTATTTTTCCCAACAAGATCCTGAGAAGGAGGATCTGGATGGAGGTTCTGCCAGAGCCCCCTGGAGCAGAGCCAGGAAGTTGAGTAGGGAGTAGCGCCCCACAGCCCATATGAGCAGGCAGGAGCAGGCCAAGCCTGAGGGTCGGGCCTCAGAGGCCTGGCCTGGCCGTATTTAGTTTTCAAGGCACTGGAAGGCTTCTCACCTCCTCTGCTGTCCAGGCACAGAAGCAAGGCCACCCACAGTTGCTGAGTCAGGGAGGCCCCTAGGGCAGGAACAGAGGCCCCACAGTGGGGTAACTTGAACACAGTGGTTCAGAGCCTGGTCTCTGTCAAGAAGATATGGTGCTGGGAACAGTGGTGTGTCCCTGTGGTTCGCGCTCCTCGGAAGGCTGAGGCAGGAGGATAAGCCTAGGGATTCTTGAGCCCAAGAGTTCTAGGCTGTAGTGTACTATATTGATCGAGTGTCTGTGCTAAGTTCAGCTTCAATATGGTGACCTCCTGTAAGCAGGGGTGTCTAAGGAGGGGTGAACAGGCCCAAGATGAAAATGGAGCAGGTCAAAACTGTGCTGATCAGTGGTGGGATTGTGACTGTGAATAGCCACTGCATTCCACCCTAGACAACATAGTGAGACTCTGTCTCTAAAAGTAAATAAATAGGCTGTGCGCAGTGGGCTCACGCCTGTAATCCCAGCACTTTAGGAGGCCAAGGCAGGCGGATCACTTGAGGTCAGGAGTTCAAGACCAGCCTGGCCGATATGGCGAAACCCTGTCTTTACTAAGAATATAAAAATTAGCTGGTCATGATGTCATGTGCCTGTGGTCCCAGCTACTCAGGAGGCTAAGGCAGGAGAATCACTTGAACCCGGGAGGCAGAGGTTGCAGTGAGCTGAGATCACATCACTGCACTGCAGCCTGGGCAATGAGTGAGACCCTATCTCAAAAAAAAAATTAATTAAATTAAATTTAAAAATGTAAATAAATAAGTAAATAAATAAATAAAAGCTGTGGGTTCAAATCCTGCTCAACAACCAATAGCTGTGTGCCTGGCCTACATATCACCTATCAGAGCCTTTGTTTTCTTTATTTGTAAAAACAACAACAAAAATGGCGGTAAAAACAAGCACCATTACTGAGTTGGTTATGTACAAGCCTCTGCTAAGCACCTTACCTGCATTATCTTATTTAATTGTCATCACAATAAACAAGTATTATTATTGTCCTCCTGAAACAAAATACATGAGAACGGTGTCTCTCATCCATGCTGCCGTAATTTCTAACCCAAGCCGCTGCTCATGCAGTCCCATCTACCTGGAGTGTATCTCTTTTTTTTTTGAGACGGAGTCTTGCTCTGTCTCCAGCTGGAGTGCAGTGGTGCAATCTTTGCTCACTGCAGCCTCTGCCTCCCGGGTTCCAGAGATTCTCCTGCCTCAACCTCCCGAGTAGCTGGGATTACAGGCAAGTGCCACCACACCTGGCTAATTTTTGTATTTTTAATAGAGTCGGGGTTTCGCCATGTTGGCCAGGCTGGTCTCAAACTCCTGTCTTCAGATGAGCCACCTACTTCAGCCTCCCAAAGTGCTAGGATTACAGGCATGAGCCACTGCACCCAGCCTGTAACCAACTCTTATGCAACCTTCAGTGTTCAGTGTAAGGTATCCAAAAAGTTACTTCCTGACTGTGAGACCTGGATTTCCAAATGAGGAAGCTGAGTCACACAGGGTGAGATCACATTCAAGTAAGAGACAGAGCTAGAGACCGGGTGCAGTGGCTCACACCTGTAATCCCAGCACTTTGGGAGGCTGAGGTGGGTGGATCACCTGAGCTCGCGAGTTCGAGACCAGCCTGATCAACATGGAGAAACCCTGTCTCTACTAAAAGTACAAAATTAGCTGGGCATGGTGGCGCATGCCTGTAATCCCAGCTACTCGGGAGGCCGAGGCAGGAGAATCGCTTGAACCTGGGAAGTGGATCCCATCTACTCGGGAGGCTGAGGCAGGAGAATCGCTTGACCCCAGAAGGTGGAGGTTGCCGTGAGCCGAGATCACGCCACTGCACTTTACCCTGGGCAACAAGAGTGAAACTCCGTCTCAAAAAAAAAAAAAAAAAAGACAGAGCTAGGAAGTGCTTACAACTTCCTCACGCTTACCTACATTTCAATTTCTGTTATTGAATCTTTTCCCCCTCAGATATACCCTATCAGCTTCTATTTTTATTTTTATTTTTATTTTTTGTGATGGAGTCTTGCTCTGTCGCTCAGGCTGGAGTGCAGTGGTGTGATCTTGGCTCACTGTAGCCTCCACCTCCCAGGTTCAAGTGATTCTTCTACCTCAGCCTCCTGAGTAGCTGGAATTACAGGCGGATGCAACCACACCGGGCTAATTTTTGTATTTTTAGTAGAGACGGGGTTTCACCATGTTGGCCGGGCTGGTCTGGAACTCCTGACCTCAAGTGATCCACCCGCCTCAGCTTCCCAAAGTGCTGGGATTACAGGCATGAACCACCACACCCGGCCCCTAGCAGCTTCTATAAAACAACACTGGGCACCTGTCCCATCCCCTGCTGCCTCCTTCAGCTCCAAATTGCCACCAAAGCCTTATTCAACCCTTTGCAACAGCCCTGTGCAAAAGGTAGGCTAGATATCATCCCCATGTCACAGACGGGGAAACTGAGGCTCAGAGAAATGAAGCAAGTTGCTTGAGGCCTTGCAACCAGCAAGAGGAGAAACCATAGGTGGACAACAGTGCTGTCTGACTCCCACCCCAGTGCTGTTTCCCCACCACAGCGAGCTGACCCTCGACCCCTCAACCTTCCCAGATGGGAGACTTCACCTCAACTCTCACACCTACACAGGTGATTAGGATTAAAGAGAAAATCAACATGAGATCAATTTGAAAGGAAGGGCCCTGCAGGACTAATAGGGTATTTTGCAAATAAGTAAAAAAATAAAAATAAAAAGTAAGCCTCCTTGAAAAATCGTAAAAGAACTGGGGGAATGAATAAGCTGTAACTGTTCTAAATCAGATCGTATTCCTACAAGACACAGGAGACCAGAACAGCTCCCTACAGCCATTAGCTCATCTCACTCATTTACAAGGCTCTCTGCTGAGAGCCAAGAGGGGGCCCCACCCAGAGGAATCATTACCTGGCCAGCACTTCACTGGGATTTCATGTCCCAGTAAAGTTTTTTCCTAAATTGGGGTACACAATTGCCAACATCTTGTTATTTGTCAAAGAATATTAAAAGGAAAAATAAATTGCTACTTTCTGCTGTTACCATCATCTCATAAAATTCAATAACAAGGACTAATCCCAGAATTTGGCAATTTTAAAAATTACCTATGTAAGTGACTCACTATGTTGTCCTAGTTTTCTCACTAGCCTTGGGCCAGTGAGAACTGTATCTAAGATGGGCATTTGGCAACCCTCAGATGAGTAGGAGAGAGAAAACATGTATGCAAATAACTCAGAGTAGCTCATTGCAACTTGGGATGAGAACCACATAAAACTCTTCTAATTACTTAATTTAAAAAAAAAGATTTATTGGAAGAGGGTTTTACCAGAAGATTTTTTGGATTCTGAGGGTTATGTAGTGACTAGGGATCAACCAAACAACCACTCTTGGCAAGGACAGAAAACTTCAAGAACAGGTGGAATCAGCCCATTTGCATGCACTCTCTCTCTCTCTTCTCTCTCTCTCTCCTCATTCTGTGTCTCTGCTTCTCTCTCTGCCTTAGCTGTCTTCTCACTCTAGTTACAGACAGGGTTCCTCCATGTGGCAGAGAACATGGTGGCTAATGTTACCAGAAAAACTCTGAACTAGGTACGGTGGCACGAGCCTGTAGTCCCAGCTACTTGGGAGGCTGAGGTGGGAGGATCGCTTGAGCCCAGGAGTTTGAGTCCAGTCTGGGCAACATAGCGAGTCCCTACCTCTAATTGGCGGTGGAGGGGGGGGCACTTTAGGCAAATTAAATTTAACAAAGTGTAACTGCAGAAAGAGCAATTCACAAATCCAGAGCCTTGCAGAACCAGGATAGGTTCACAGCAACTCAGAGACTGCCACAAGGGTCAGATTACATTTATGGACAGAAAAAGGAAAGTTACATACAGAAAACAGAAGTGGGGTACAGAAACAGCTAGATTGGTTACGGTTGGCATTATTGGTACACTGTTTGAACTGTGGTCGGCCTGCAATTGGCTGAAACTCAGCAGCTGTGACTGGATGAGACCTAGCCACTTGTTACAAGAGTACCTTACGGTCTGTTTACATACCTAATTAGATTACAGTTCACAATGTATGGAGAAACCTTTAGACCCAAATTAATATACAACAGGTAAGGAAGAAGCTTTAGGTTAAACTTAACTCAGTTTCAGTGAGAAAGAAAAAAGAAAGCAACTGCCACAAAAACAGGGAAGGTGTCTGATTGGCCCAGCTGGGTCAGATGTCTATCTCTGGACCAATCAGCTGTGGGGTCTGTAACAACATGGCAGCTCCCATGAGAACGGCATGGTTGGAGTCAGAAGAGGAAGAAGCAGAACTGGGCAGGTGAGCTGGGAAGAGAATACCATAGATGTCCACTATGGAGATGATAAATGCCCTAATAGATGCGCACAAAAAATGTCATGGGCATTTAGGGGATGAAGACACAATTTCTAGCTGTGCAACTGTGGTGATCAGTCAGAGCTTCTTGGAAGAGGTGGCATTCGAGCTGGGTCTTGAAGCCGAGAATCATCTGGAACGTACAGAGATTCTAAATGCCACCTCACATTAGAAAAGAAAGATGATCCCTGGTAATGGAGAAGATAGCATCCGAAAGAATTAAATATGAATGTCTCACTTTGTCAAGATTTCATAGGTTTTTTATTTTTACAGATGGTGTGTCTCGCTCTCCCTCCCAGACTGGAGTGCAGTGCGATCATAGCTCATTGCAGCCTTGAACTCCTGGGCTCAAGCGGCCCTCCAGCCCCAGCCTCCAGAGTAGCTGGGACTACAGGTGCACACCACCACACCTAGCTATAGTTTTCAAAATTTAGATATAATTCATATATAAATTATATTTTATAGTTATTTTGGTGTTTAATTTTGAAATAATTTTAGACTTACAGAAACGTTGCAAAAATAGTTCAGAGTTATCCTAAACTCTTCATTTCCTACACCTTCACCTAGCTTTCCCTGATAGGAACATCTTACCTCACCTTAGTACAATTATCAGAACCAGGAAATTAACACTGGTACAGTAACCTACATACCTTATTTGAATTTTAGCTGTTTTCCTTTTGATCTAATCCAAGGTCCAACATTGCATTTAGTTGTAATGTCTTCTTAGTCTTCTCTAATCTATGACAGCTCCTCAGCCTCTCGCTTTTTTTCTCAAATGACCCTGACACGTACTGTTCAGTCATTTTATAGAATATCCCTCAATTTGAATGTCTGATTTTTTTTTTGGTGATTAGATTGAGCTTATGCACTTTTGGCAAGAATATCACAGAAGTAACGTTATGCCCTTCTTAGTGCATCAGATCAGGGGCTACTTTCTGTTGATATGACTTATTACTGGGCATGTTAACACTGATCATGTGGTTAAAGAGGTTATCTGCTGGGTTTCTCTTTTATAATTTTATAATAAGTGTCCTTTTGTAATTAGTAATTATCTTGTGGGGAGATAATAAGACCATGCAAAAATGTAAATTTCTTGACATTTACGGTATGTTTGTTTGTTTTTTTGAAATGAAATCTCCTTCTGTCACCCAGGGTGGAGTGCAGTGGTGCCATTTCGGCTCACTGCAACCTCTGCCTCTTGGGTTCAAGCGATTCTCCTGCCTCAGCCTTCCGAGTAGCTGGGATTACAGGGGCCCACCACCATGCCTGGCTAATTTTTGTATTTTTTAGTAGAGACGTGGTTTCACCATGTTGGCCAGGCTGGTCTCAAACTCCTGACCTCAGGTGATTCGCCCACCTCGGCCTCCCAAAGTGTTGGGATTACAGACGTGAGCCACCGCGCCTGGCCTACATTTTTTTTTTTAAGTGCTGTCAAATGCATGCCGTCTACTTTTCTTCAGTAAATGTCAACTCTTTACCCATTATGTGCCAGTCCCTGTGGGGTGTGCCAAGCAGAAAAAGCACTGATCTAAGATGTGTGGCTCAGTTATGTGTAGATCCATGACCTTGCTGGGCTTTAGGATCCTTATCTATAAAATGGATATCATTATATCTTACCAGTAAGAACTGCTGAGGATAAAGGCAGACCGTACTTGTGAACGTGTTCTGTAATACAAACTAGGGTTGTTCATTCTCCTTCTGCAGTGCTCAGCTCTGGCCTCTCCTCTCCTGTTTGCATTTCCCTTTTCCTTCCTGCCTGTGTTCAGGCCTGCAGACTTCTGTCTGTCCTCCCTGGTCTAACTCCCTTATCCTACTTGCCAAGCCTTACTGTGATGTCATTTAATAAATTTTGGAGACACAAGGAGCGCCTCATAGAGATGGACAATTTCCTTCAGTAGTCTCCTGCTGTTTTTAGAGTTGCCTCCAGGTGCCTGGGCCTGTGGGTGTTGGGCAGGAGAACCTTCCTCCTATGGCAGAAATAAGTGGGAGAAGTAGGGATTGCCTTCCTCCAATAATAATGCTTTGGCCCTAAAAAGGAAACTCTTGAACCCCATAGAATATTTTATTTTATTTTATTTTATTTTTGAGACAGAGTCTCGCTCTGTCGCCCAGGCTGGAGTACAGTTGCACGATCTTGGCTCACGCAACCTCTACCTCCCAGATTCAAGCAATTCTTGTGCCTCAGCCTCCCAAGTAGCTGGGACTACAGTGATGCACCACCACGCCTGGCTAATTTTTGTATCTTTAGTAGAGATGGGGTTTCACTGTGTTACCATGCTGGTGTCGAACTCCTGGCTTCAAGTGATCCGCCCTCCTTGGCCTCCCAAAGTGCTGGGATTACAGGCGTGAGCCACCGTGCCCAGCCAAACCCCATAGAATATTGAAGAAGCCCAAATGGATACTTGTGTCTTACTGAGTGGACACACTTTAAAGTTACTTCAAAACATGAAAGGATGACTTACTCCATATCAAACCTCCTAATTAATCCAACAGTAATTTTTTTTATTTTGTTTTATTTTATTTTATTTTTTGAGACAGGGTCTCACTCTGTTGCCCAGGCTGGAGTGCAGTGGCACAATCACAGCTCACTGCAGCCTCAACCTTTTAGGCTCAAGTGATCCTCCCAACTCAGTTTCCTGAGTAGCTGGGACTGCAGGTGTACGCCACCATGCCTGGCTAACTTTTGTATTTTTTTGTAAAGACAGAGTTTTGCCATGTTGCCGAGGCCGCTCTCGAACTCCTAAGCTCAAGCAATCCACCCACCTCGTCCTGCCAAAGAGCTGGGATTACAGGTGTGAGCCACCACACCTGGCCTGCAATTTTAATCTAAGGCAGGATTTACTTATTTATTTAGAGACAGAGTCTGTCTCTGTTGCCCAGGCTGGAGTGCAGTGGTGTGATCATGACTCACTGCAAGCTTAAACTCCTGGGCTAAAACAATCTTCCTACTTCAGCCTCTTGAGTAGCTGGGACTACAGGCACACACCACCATGACCAGAAAGGTTTTTTTTTTTTTTGACACGGAGTCTTGCTCTGTCGCCAGGCTGGAGTGCAGTGGCATG
Organism: Homo sapiens; assembly: GCF_000001405.40. Lineage (NCBI taxonomy): Eukaryota > Metazoa > Chordata > Mammalia > Primates > Hominidae > Homo > Homo sapiens. The sequence continues at coordinate 31,067,304 of NC_000022.11, forward strand.
ATCTTGGCTCGCTGCAATCTCCGCCTCCCAGGTTCAAGCAATTCTCCTGCCTCAGCCTCCTGAGTAGCTGGGACTACAGGTGCGTGCCACCACACCCAGCTAACTTTTGTATTTTTAGTAGAGATGGGGTTTCACCATGTTGGCCAGGATGATCTTGATCTCTTGACCTCGTGATCCTCCCCCTTAGGCCTCCCAAAGTGCTGGGATTACAGGCATAAGCCACCACGCCCGGCGCACCTGCTTCTTCTTCTTTTTTTTTTTTTTTTTTTTGAGACGAGTCCCCCTCTGTTGCCCAGGCTGGAGTGCAGTGGCACGATCTTGGCTCACTGCAAGCTCTGCCTCCCGGGTTCACGCCATTCTCCTGCCTCAGCCTCCTGAGTAGCTGGGACTACAGGCGCCTGCCACCATGCCCAGTTAATTTTTTTTTTGTATTTTTAGTAGAGACAGGGTTTCACCATGTTAGCCGGGATGGTCTCGATCTCCTGACCTTGTGATCCGCCTGCCTCAGCCTCCTGAAGTGCTGGGATTACAGTCATGAGCCACCGCGCCTGGCCCACACCTGCTTCTTAAAGGACCAAGTCCTGGCTGGGCTCGGTGGCTCATGCCTATAATCCCAGCACTTTGGGAGGCCAAGGTGGGCAGATCCCTTGAGTCCAAGAGTTCAAGACCAGCCTGGGCATAGCGAAATCTCATCTCTACAAACCATTAAAAAATGTTTTGGCTGGGCACAGTGGCTCACATTTGTAATCCCAGCAGTTTGGGAGGCCGAGGCGGGTGGATCACCTGAAGTCAGGAGTTTGAGACCAACGGGCCAATATGGTGAAACCCCATCTCTACTAAAAATCCAAAATTTAGCCGGGCGTGGTGGTGGACACCTGTAATCCCAGCTACTCGGGAGGCTGAGGAAGGAGAATCACTTGAACCTGGGAGGCGGAGATTGCAGTCAGCCAAGACCGCGCCATTGCACTCTAGCCTGGGTGACAAGAGTGAAACTCCATCTCAAAAAAAAAAAAATGTTTTAAAGGGACCAAGTCCTTTTAGGGGAGCTTCTGATCATTTGAATCTCCAATAACAGAAGAGGTTTTCAAATGTTACCCCGGGGATTCCTCATTGCCTGCTCCCAGTATTTTCCAAGAAAGACCTGAGGCTCCTTTCTGAGCTTCATTCCCTTGTTCTCCTCCCAGCCCCTCAGCTGTCTTTTGTACCAATTAGGTAGTTATTAATTGCTCCCTAATTGCAAATTGGCTGCCTCCTTACTGGCTCCCACCCATGCTGGCTGGCTGACCAAGGGGTCACATGCATCCTTCAGGGAAAGGTGTTTTGTGAATCCAGTGGTTCATTTGTTCCACACGTGTGTTGAGCCCCTTCGTTGACGCCAGATCCTTTCTAGGTCCTGGGGACCGTGTTGAGCGAGACAAACCCAAGTCCCTGGCTTCTCAGAGCTCACAGTCTAGCAGGAGACAAACAACAAAAAAATTAATCATTTCCGATCGTCAGTGCTGTGATGGGGAGTAATTACAGTACAGAGTAATTTTGGGGAGCTTCAGATACGTGCTCTGGGAAGACCTTTCTAAGGAGGTGATGTGTGAGTTAAGATCTGAATGGTAATCTGGAGCCAGCCAGAGTGAAGATGTGGTTGAAGAGCACAGTCCCAGGGGAGAAGAAAGCAAAGGCAGAGGCCAGGGGAGAGAAAGCAGCATGGCCTCTCTCAGGGGCATTCATCTTATCTATGAAGCCCTAAGCGATTCAGAAGTCAAACATCAGGTTGGGGCTAGTTGTAAGGTTTAGGGCAAAACACCCCTCCTACTCCCTGTTGTTAGAAGACCGGAGGCGGGGTTTGCCCCCACCTGGCCCCGCTCCAGAAGGAGGGGTTATTATACGTCTGATTGAATCAACTTCCAGGATCCTTATTGGTCCTTGGTGGTAACTAGGGCGCTCTCTTCCAGGATCCTTATTGGTCCTTGGTGGTAATTAGGCCACTCTCGCTTCAAAGTCCCAAATTCAGGCGCCCCGCTGGGGACTAGAGCGACCGTTCCCCACCTCACCCACCCCAAGCTCAGAGGTTGGAGAGAACTGCCTCCCCAAAGGAACCCAGACCCAGGCTTGAGACTTTGCAAAGAGACACAAGATGGGGATTGCCATGTGAAGTTTCCAGATTTTTTAAAATGTTAGAACGATGAATTCGAAAAGCTTTAAAACACTGCACAGGCCAAACAACAAGTCTATGGGCAAGACCTGGCCAGCTGGCCTGGGTGCGGTGGGGCTTGGTGAACGCCTAGAGGTAGGGACGAGGGAGAGAAGGAGTCAGGAAGGATGCTAACTGCATCCTGGATTCTGGGACACCCATGCCCTGGCAGAGATGTGCCCTAAGAGGAACGAACTCACGGCCACAGGCACAGATTGAGCACCTAACTGTGTGCATGGCTCTGTGCTAGGATGGGGGACACAAAACACTTCATAGGACTGCACCCTCGCTCAGGGCTGGGTGGGCCGACCTCAGGAAACCTGGGTTCCAGCCCTGACTTGCTCTCCTATAATTGCTGTGTGAACTTGGGTTGATTCATCATCTCTCTGGGATTCAGCACACAGCCTTTGTTGACATTAGATTAACTAAATCCAGTAAGGGAAGATTTTGAAGGGCCTCTGGGTGTCTGGATAGGGAATCTGGGCTGGGTCTAATAGGAAGTAGGAACCACCCCAGGTTCTTGAGCAGGGGAGTGACATGTTGAAGAGGAAAGTGAAGCAGGCCACCTGTGCAGAGACACACATCATCCAGGTGTGGGGTAGTGAGGACAGCAACTGAAGCGTATGCAAATCAGATCTGATCACCTCTAGCTCAAAAACCTTCCATGGCTCCCTGCAGCCCTCACATGAAAGTCCTTTCCTCTTACTATGGGCCATGGGCAGGGCCAGCTTCACGTAATGAAGGGTCGGTGTAATGCTCTGCTGTCACTATCTTGAAATACTTCAGAATTTTTGAACAAGGAGCTCCGTTTTCTCATTTTGCACCAGGCCCTGCAAATTGTGAAGGTTCCCACAGGGGCCTTTCAGTCTGGGCCTTTCCCCTCTCCCCATCCAAACCCCACTTCTCCCTTACCCTTCATACTTCACTCACGTTGGTCTTCCATCAGTTTCTGGAGATTGTTCCTGCCTCGGGACATTTGCGTAGTCTGTTCCCCTTGCCTGGAACACCCCCACCCCCACGTCGAGACCAACTTAGTTTTTTGTTCAACAATTTCTTATCTTCCAGACTTGAGCATAATTATCTCCTGAGAGATAACTCCTCTGACCTCCCAGAACTACCTGTTCAAAACAAAACTTTAAAAATTATTTAAGCCAGCCGGGCACGATGGCTCATGCCTGTAATCCCAGCACTTTGGGAGGCCCAGGTGGGTGGATCACTTGAGGTCAGGGGTTCAAGACCAGCCTGGCCAACATCTTGAAACCCCGTCTCTACTAAAAATACAAAAATTAACCGGGTGTGGTGGCAGGAGCCTGTAATCCCAGCTACTTGGGAGGCTGAGGCAGGAGGATTGCTTGAACCCGGGAAGCAGAGGTTGCAGTGAGCTGAGATCACGCCATTGCACTCCAGCCTGGGTGACAGAGTGAAACTCTGTCTCAAAAAAAAAAAAAAAAAAGAAAAGAAAACGATTTAAGCCTGAGTGCAGTGGCTCACTCCTGTAATCCCAATACTTTGGGAGGCAAGGCAGGAGTATTGCTGAGGCCAGGAATTCCAGACCAGTCTGGGCAACACAGCAAGATCCCATCTGTACAAAAAATAAGAAAATTAGCCAGACATGGTGGTGTGTGCCTGTAGTCCCAGCTACTTTGGTGGCTGAGGCAGGAGGATTGCTTGCGCCCAGGAGTTCAAGGCTTCAGTGAGCCATGATTGCGCCACTGCACTCCTACCTGTGCAACAGAGCTACACCCTGTCTCAAAAAAAAAAAAAAAAGCAATAATGGAGGCATTTCAGGCATGTGTCAGCAGCCATAGGTGTTCAGGGGCTTTGTGCTTATGAAGGTTTGTTCAGTAACAAATATTCAGCTGGAGCGGGCATCATGGCTCACACCTGTAATCCTAGCACTTCGGGAGGCTGAGGCAGGAGGATTGCTTGAGCCCAGGAGTTTGAGACCAGCTGGGCAACAAAGTGAGACCTGATCTCTACAAAAAATAAAATACATAAAATTAGTTGGGCATAGTGGCATGCACCGGCTGAGGTGGGAGGATCGCTTGAGCCCAGGAGGTCGAGGCTGCAGTGAGCTGCGATCACGCCATTGCACTCCAGCCTGAGAGACAGAGTGAGACCCTGTCTCAAAAAATTAAAAACTTAATTAATTAAAAAAAATTCAACTGGGGAAATAGTTCTAGCTCTCTCTTTCTCTCTCTCTCTCTCTTTTTTTTTTTTTTTTGGAGGCAGAGTTTCACTCTGATACCCAATCTGGAGTGCAGTGGCATGATCTCGGCTCACTGCAACCTCCACCTTCCAGGCTCAAGGGATTCTCCCACCTCAGCCTCCCAAGTGGCTGGGACTATAGGTGCATGCCACCACACCCAGCTCATTTTTGTATTTTTTGTAGAGATGGGGTTTTGCCATGTTGCCCAGGCTGGTCTCGAACTCCTGGACTCAAGCGATCCTCCCACCTCAGCCCCCCAAAGTGCTGGGATTACAGGCATAAGCCACCACACTTAGCCATATTGCCATCTCTTAATGAAGTAAATAAAACCATTTACACCACAAGAGATAGAGGGAAGGGATAGGATTTGTCCAAAACATAATAAATCCCCTTGGCCAAATTCATGGACCCTGGCAGGGTAAGATCAGAGATAGCATCATTTCTGCCTATGTGGCTGACATTCATTATGTAAGTCCCATGTACCAGGATCCCCATCCCATGCAAGCTCCGTGAATGATCACTCCCAACCTTATAAGGTTGGAAGTATTAGCTCCCCATTTTGTGGATGAGGAAACTGAGGCCTAGAGAAATTAAGTAACTTGCCAAATGTCACACAGTAAAGAATTGACAGAGTTGGGATTCGCACCTAGATCTGTCCAACTCCAGATCTCCCTGAGCCCTTCACTACTGCAAAATAGCTACTCAACTGGCTTGCTGTATGATTTGGGGCAAGTTCCTCAACCTTTCTGAGTCTCAGATTCTTTTTTTCTTTTTCTTTTTTTGAGATGGAATTTCCCTCTTGTCACCCAGGCTGGAGGGCAATGCACGATCTCAGTTCACTGCAACGTCCGCCTTCCGGGTTCAAACCATTTTCCTGCCTCAGCCTCCCAAGTAGCTGGGATTACAGGTGCCCGCCACCACGCCTGGCTAATTTTTGTATTTTTAGTACAGACAGGGTTTCACCATCTTGGCCAGGCTAGTCTCGAACTCCTGACCTCTGGTGATCTGCCCGCCTCAGCCCCCCAGAGTGCTGGGATTACAGGCATGAGCCACTGTGCCCAGCCTCTTTTTCTTTTTTTTAAGACAAGGTCTTACTCTGTCACCCAGGCTGGAATGCAGTGGGCAATCTCTGCTTACTGCAGCCTCAACCTCCTAGGCTCAAGTGATCCTCCCACTTCAGCCTCCCAAGTAGCCGGGACTACAGGCGTGCGGCACCAGGACCAGTTAAGCTGAGCCTCAAATTCTTTACCTATAACTTGTCCCTTATTTAAGCTAACACATGGTAGGTGCTGAAGTTGATTCTCTCTCTCTCTCTTTTTTTTTTTTTTTTTTTTTGAGACAGGGTCTTGCTCTGTCACCCAGGCTAGAGTGCAATGGCATGATCTCGGTTCAGTGTAGCCTCAACCTCCTGAGCTCAAGCGATCCTCCTGCCTCAGCTTCCCAGAGTAGTGGGATTACAGGCATGCACCACTGTTGATTCTTTATAGATGTTAATTCTCTGCTTAACACACATGCCCCTCCAACTCCCACCACACATACAGACACAGACACACATACACACGCACGCACGCATGCACGCATGCACGCCAGCCCCACAACAGGAGGAATGTAACGGAAGCAATGCTTTGTGTTCTGTAACCTGTTTCCTTTTCCTGGACACACAGGAAGGTCATGTTCTCATTTTTCCTGCAGTTAGTAGAGTCACGTGACTACATAAAGGCCAGTGAAATTATACGTGACCCCTGCGCAAAGGCAGTTAAGTGTGGATGTGCCTCCTTTGATTTTCTGATTCCCTTTCCACATGCAGAGGATTCAGGAATAGATTCCAGGGAAAGCCTGGGGTGGAGGCAGGATTCGGGGGCAAGGTCACTGCTTGGAAAAGAGCTCCCTGGGAGAGCCCCAACCTGTATCAGACTTTGCAGGGGTGAGAAATAAACTCTGATTGGGTTAAACCACTGAGATATTTGGTTTGTTACAGCAGTCAGCATTAATTACACTGAATAAAACAGTGTATCAGTTATCAATTGCCACAACAATGCTACATAACAAACCACCCCAAAACTTAGTGCCTTAAAACAGCAACCGTTTTTTTAGCTCAAGATTTCATGGATTGGCACTTTAGCCTGGGCTCAGCTAAAGATTTTTCTGGTCTCAGTTGGGCTTACTCATGTATCTGTGGTCAGCTATTGGATTAGCTGGTGACTGACTAGGACAGCTTCAGCTAGGATAACTAGTCCCTGTTCCAGTGGTCTCTTAGGCAGGATAGCCCAGGCTTGTTCACATAACAGCTGCGAGAGTTCCAAGAGAATAAGTGGAATCTCTTAAGGCCCAATCTCTTAACACCCAGGCTTCGAACTGGCAATGCCACTTCCGTATATTCTATTGGCCAAAAATAGTCACATGCCTGCCTGGGCATGGTGGCTCACACCTGTGTAATTCCAGCACTTTGGGAGGCTGAGGTGGACGGATTACTTGAAACCAGGAGTTTGAGACCAGCCTGGACAACATGGGGAAACTCCATCTCTATAAAAATTAGTCAGGTGTGGTGGTGAGTGCCTGTAGTCCCAGCTACTCGGGAGGCTGAGGTGAGAGGATCACCTGAGCCCAGACAGGTCAAGGCTGTAGTGTGCCATGATCGCACCACTGCACTCCAGCTTGGGTGACAGAGATCCTGTCTTAAAAAATAAAAAAGAGCTCAGCCTCTAGAATCACAGCCCTGGGCTTAAGTCCTGACTCACTTGCTATTGATTTTGGGCAAATGCCTTCCCCTCCCTGAGACTGACATTTCCCTTCTATAAAACAGGTGCTGGGGCTGGGCATGGTGGCTCACACCTGTAATCCCAGCACTTTGGGAGGCCAAGAAGGGCGGATCACCTGAGGTCAGGAGTTCAAGACTAGCCTGGACAACATGGTGAAATCCTGTCTCTACTAAAAATATATAACTTAGCCAGGCGTGGTGGTGCACACCAGTAATCCTAGCTACTCACTACTCGGGAGGCTGAGGCAAGAGAATCGCTTGAACCCAGGAAGCGGAGGTTGCAGTGAGCTGAGATTGTGCCATTGCACTCCAGCCTGGGTGACAAGAGTGAAACTGTCTCAAAAAACAACAAAAACAACAACAACAACAACAACAAAACACAGGTGCTGGAAGAGAGGAGTCCTAACGTTGGGGGCTATTGTGAGAATTGACTGAGGGAATGCACCGTGGAAACGTGTGCTGTAAATTACCTATTTTATTACACCCAAGGTGGGCTTAATAGCTGTCAGGGAGTGTTAGTATTATCTCAACCAAACCCCCAATTTACAGAGGAGAAAACAAGAGCCTCAGGCAGGTGATGTGACTTGCCAAGGCTGCATAGCTAGGGAGCAGTGATGTCCCCACCGTACTCAAGTTTGTCTGTTTCCAGAAGCTAAGGTCTTAGCCTCTCTACAGTTAGAAAGTCCTAGGTTTGAGTCTCGACTCTGTCCATTATAGCTGTGTGACCTTGGGCAAGTCACTTTTCTCTCTGGGCCTCATTTTTTTTCTTCGTCTAAAGAAATTAGCATCTGTCTCATAATGCCATGGGGAATCAATGGGAAAATACAAAGAAAGTGCTTAGCAGAGTGCCAAGGAGGGACAGTGTGCATGCTCAGCAATTGAAGGCTGCCAAGTTCCTGTTATCATCAGGGGCAGTGTTCCATCCATCAAAAGGGCTAAGAATAGTCTTAGCCCGGCCAGGCGCGGTGTAATCCCAGCATTTTGGGAGTCCGAGGCAGGTGGATCACCTCAGTTCAGGAGTTCAAGACCAGCCTGGCCAACATGTCAAAACCCCGTCTCTACTGAAAATACAAAAATTAGCCAGGCGTGGTGACGGGCCCTTGTAATCCCAGCTACTTGGGAGGCTGAGGCAGGAGAATCACTTGAAGCCGGGAGGCAGGGGTTGCAGTGAGCCAAGATTGCGCCACTGCACTCTAGTCTGGGTGACAGAGCGAGACTCTGTCTTAAAAAAAAAAAAAAAAAGGAATAGTCTTAGCCAGTGGGGGTAGGGTGAGGAATAAGTAAGTTACTGTGGGCTAAGCTTTAGCCCAGTGCCCAGCACATATTATAAACTTCATAAGCAGTTGCTATTTTAAAGGGTTTTTGTTTTGTTTTGTTTTGTTTTTGTTTTTGTTTTTGAGACAAGGCCTCGCTCTGTCGCCCAGGCTGGAATGCAGTACTTTTAAAGTTCTGAACCCTGTTGGAGGCCAATATGAGACCATGGGGGACCCCAGGCCCCAACTGGCAGTGGCTCCAGGCACTGCCTCCGTGCCATTTGGCTATTATTAGGCCCGGCGTCCTCATCTCAAATCCAGATGGGGATCGAGAAGGGCGGGTAGGGCAGGGCCTGGCTGGCGGAAGGCTGGGAACACGGCTTGGAGGCTGGGTTTGGGTTTGGGCCCCACCCTGCCTGCCTTCCCTTGCTTGCAGCTGGTCCAGCCGCCACGTCTACACTTGGCTCTGAGGTTGTTGCAGAGCACTCCCTCCCACCGTGGCCGCCTCCTCTGGGAAGATGCAGAGCCCTTCTGCAGCCTCAGCACTTTTCTCCCTGCCCCAGAGAGGCCAGGCCTGCGTGGAAACTCTGAATTGGACACTGCGTGCCTTCAGAACCGGCAAAGGAGCCATCCACCCCGCTGTCTACAGGTCTTCATGCCTCCAGTGAGGCTTACTGGATCTGCTGAGGGGGAAGGGCCTATATACCTGGGTTCAAATCCCTTCGCTACCACCAACATGCAGTGTCAACTTGGACAAATGACTTCCCCTCTCTGAGCCTCAGTTTCTTTGCCCATAAAAGGGACAGAACATTAGCATCTGCTTTATAGGGCTGTGGTGATGGTTACATGAGTGCATGGTATGCCATAGGCACTCAATATGTGTCAGTTATTTCATGCTTAAGTGTGCCAGGCCCTGAGGAGGAAACAAAGTTTTGAGAGGTTGAGAATCTGGGATGCAGAATGGCTCTGCTCCTGATTTGCTACACTACCTGAAGCCTGTCCCTTGTCCTCTCTGGGACTCAGTTACCTATTTGAACCATAAGGTGGGTATCTAGGACTCTGTGATGCCAAGATTCAGGTGCTATGTTCAGAAGTAGAGAGAAGGGTTTGCTGGGATCCCACACTGACAGGTTGGTAAAATATTCATTCTCGGACTGGACTCTGGAGCCAAAATACCCTCAGCCCCTGAGCTGCTCCAGATACTCCCTACTCTGCCAGTCCAGAGCTGAACCTGGAAGAATCTAGACCCTTCTTGTTACAGTTTTTTGCCCTAGGAGGGCCTGAAGGAGGCGAGTCAAACCCCCTCATTTTACAGATGGGCAGACTGAGGCCCAGGTCTCCCCAGTGCTCAGGCGTCATCCAAGTGGAGCTTCCAAATGGTGGATGGTAGAATATGGTGATTAAGAACAAATGTTCTGGCCGGGCGCAGTGGCTCACGCCTGTAATCCTAGCACTTTGGAAGGTCAAGGCAGGCGGATTTCTTGAACCCAGGAGTTCGAGACTAGCCCCGGCAACATAGGGAGACCCTTGTCTCTACAAAAAATAAAAAAATTAGCCAGGCATGGTGGCACGTGTCTGTAGTCCCACTGTGAGCCTGGGAGGTCAAGGCTGCAGTGAGCCATGGTTGTGCCACTCCACTCCAGCCTGGGCGACAGAGTGAGACTCTGTCTCAAAAACAAAACAAAACAAAAAAAAAAACAACAAAAGAACGAGGGTTCTGAGCCTGTCTCCTTATCTGTATAATGGTGGTCCTACCTCACAGGACTCAAGCTGTGAAGGTCATAGTGGTAACAAAATTGCCACACATGTAGTATAAGCATGATCAGGAGCCAGTGTCCAACCCATCAGGTAGCAATTACATAGTGTCCCACCATGAGCCTAGACCCCCACTCCCTGCGCCCAGGCATCAGGGACTCCCAGAAGTCTAAAGAGGTCCAGGCTGGCACATCCAGAACTCTCTCCTTCCTGTTCCAGCCCCTTGCCTCTCCTTTGTCTGTGAGGCTGGGTCTCCTGGAATTCACTGCTGCCCAGTGGGCATCTGAGGCCCCTTCTCCTCCTGCAGGGCCAGAAGTTTGCCTGGCACTGTTGCCCAGAGAACACAGCGGCTGGATGACATCCTGGAGATGATGGCCTTGCCAAACTGGTTTCCCAGCAGGTCCTCAGTCCCACTCCGAGGGCTGCTGGCCATGACCTAGGACGCATCCAGTTCTGCACATAAGGAGGAAGGTCATACCCCTTGGATCCAGCCAACCCCAACAAGAACCATCCACCTCTAGGGGCTCCATTCTCCAGCCTCACCTGCCTGTCTGTTGCCCAACAAGGTCGTCACAATCCTACTTCCGTTCCTTTGCTAATGCTGTTCCCGTCTCCAGAATGACAGTGCTGTCCTGGGGAGAGAGGCTTAGAGAGCCCAAGGCACAGCTCCTCCATTGTGCATATGAGCAAGTTGAAGCTCCAAGAGGGCCAACCCTTACCTAGGGTTGGAGCCAGGGGTAAGACACCCATCACCCTTCTTGCCTCCTGACCCAAGGCCTGGGCTTTCTCTGAAGGACCCTGACTGGGTGGAGGGTTAGCCAGGGTGACTTAGGGATGCAACACAGACAGCTTGGTAAAATAGTCATTCTCAGACTTGAGCTCTGGAGCAAAATATTACCCCTAGCCTCTGAGCTGCTCCAGCCACTTCCCATTCTGCCTTTCCAGGGTTGAACCTGGAAGAACCTAGAGTAGACCCTTTCTGTGACAGCCCCTTGCCCTAGGAAGGCTTGAAGCAGACCAGTCTAATCACCTCATTTTACAGGGGGCAGGCTGAGGCCCAGGCCTCTCTGGTGCCCACAAGATACATTCATCCTGCTCATCTGGCATTCAGAATCCTTGGCAAAGAGAACCACCCACATTTCCTGCTCCGCCCACAGCCTATCCTCCTCCTTTTCCCAGACTATTGGTCTTTGCTCACACTGTTCCTCTGCCACAAATGCCCTTTCATGCCTTTCCCCCTCTTCTATGTGGGATGAATTTTAAAAATTAGCTGGGCGTGGTGGTGTGTGCCTGTAGTCCTAGCCTCTTGGGAGGCTGAGATGGAAGGATTGCTTGAGCCAGGAGTTTGAGGCCATGGTAAGCTGTGATCATGCGACTGCACTCCAGCCTGTGGGACACAGCAAGACCCTGTCTCCAAAAAAAATAAAATAAAATAAAAACAAGTGTGACACACAGTTTATACACCACTTCCCTAAGAAGTCTTCCAGAGCTTCCCCCATCCTAGTGGCAGCAAAGTGGAGGGAAGGGGCTTCAGCATCAGGCAGAATTCCACTTTAGTCTGAATGCCTTTACTAGGCCAAGGTGCCTTCACCTCCCTGAGCTTCAGCTTCCTCTGTCGAATCAGAGTGTACCTATCTTGCACAGTGGTCACCTGGCAGTAGTGGGAGCCCCACGTCTGACATGCAACAGGTGTTCAGCAAATGCTGGGGCCCTCGTCACGGGATGTTTACTCTTTCCTCGGCTGTAGCTGTAAACTTCCCTAGCACTGTACCGGACTGCCCTTTGATCTCTAGATCACCCCCACTCCCTTGCAGAGAGGAAGACAGAGGCAGGCGGGTATGTCTGGAGGTGGACCCAGGCACTAAGGGCTTGAAGGGGCAGGACCCACACATCCCTTCCATAGGGCCAAGGGCTAGTGAGCGCATGTGCCAGACAGTAAATCCAAGCATGGAGGAACTCACCTGTACCATTCCTCCTAGCCTACAGTAGGGCAGGGAGAAAGGAGGGCATTAGCACAAAGCAGGCCATTCATTGGAGCTGGTGACCGCCATTCAGGCAGGCCCTGAAAATCAGAGGTGGCCTAGGTGTGCCCTGCATGAAGGGGAGGTCCCAAGGGACGCGTGAATTTTGAAGTATTCAGAATTGGTCTTAGAGGGCGCCTGACCCTCGTTCTGGATAATAACATGGCATCTCGCCCAGGTAGAGAAAGCCTAGGACCTTGAAATATGTCCTCCGAAGTGAGCTCTGTTTGCCTCTCCTGCTGTGTAGCATTGACAAGTCGCTTTCTTCTGTGCCTTGATTTTCTTTTTTCTTTTTTTGAGACAGAATCTTGCTCTGTCGCTTAGGCTGGAGTGCAGTGGCACAATCTCGGCTCACTGCAACCTCTGCCTCCAGGTTCAAGTGATTCTACTGCCTCAGCCTCCCAAGTAGCTGGGATTACAGGTGCATGCCACTTGCCCGACTAATTTTTGTATTTTTAGTAGAGACGGGGTTTTTGCCGTGTTGGCCAGGCTGGTCTCGAACTCCTGACCTTGGGTGATCCACCTGCCTTGGCATCCCAAAGTGCTGGGATTACAGGCATGAGCCACCGCACCTGGCCCGTGCCTTGGTTTTCTGATGTGTAAAATGGGACCACTTCTCAGGGGTGTGGGGATGAAATGAAATGACACATGGAAAAGACTCTCAGTGTGGAGACTGGGCCTTTCCTTAGATGGGGGCTGGGGGGTGTCACAGAGGACCTGAACCGGGGCTCTTCTGGGTTAACAGGCTGAAACCACCTCCCCAGAATCCCACATTATAGTGGTTAAAAGCAGGGTCTGGACTCAGAAGGTGCTGGGTATGAATCACAGCTTTACTACTTATCAGCTGTTGTCCTCATCTGTAAAATGGGGCAATAGTCATGGTCTCATGTGCTTGTTATGGGCATTATATGCCTGGTACATGGCAAGTACAAAATAAATGATTTGTTATTGTTTTTATTTGACAGGACTCCAGACCCCATCCTCCCAACTCCACCCACTTTAGTCTCCATGGAGACCCAAGGGCGGCTTTAGGGCCTCTGGCACTGAAGATGGAATAGCTTTGCCTTGTGGATCTGACCTCCTGGGTACCCTGGCTGATTCCTTGTTTGGTCTTGGACATGTCAGCTCTCTCTGGGCCTCAATTTCCCCCTTTTGCTGAATGACAGCCTGGACTCCATATTCCCTATTTAGGACTCCAGCGCTCCTAAAGGCAGACTCTCAGGGCTTGGAAGGTAGAAGCATGCTACAAGAAGGCAATGTCTGTTCAAAGGTGTGTGGGCTGGGGGAGGCGTGCTGTGTGATTGATTCTGCTCCACCTGAGATGGTCCCGGCACTCCAACACAGGGTCAAGGTGCTGCCAGTCACTCAGTCCCTGCTCTGAGGTGGCTCAGACCAGGTGTCCCGAAAGCAGCCTAGGGACGGCGGCCAAGCTTAAACACTGACGCGAGAAAGGGGTGGAGTCGAGGGAGGGGACGTGGTCTCAGGAACAAAGAGGAGGGCGGAGAGGGGCTGTCCTGAAGGCTCTGAGACTCCTACGACCCCAGGAAACTTACCTCGGCTCGGGGCGCCCCCCCCGACTTGGCGCAGAGCCTGCGTCCCCCTGCCGATGCCCACCCGACTCGCTAAAGCCACCGAGGCAGACGACCCCAAGACTCCCAATTTCCGACCTCCCTGGCCCGCGAGGGGCGGGGCCTTCCTCTCGGGGCGTGGCCGTCAAATTGAATTTTCCCAATGGGGCACGAGAGTGGGAGGTACCCAATCGAGGGTTGGCTGGCGCGTCGGGGCAGGGCGGGGCCAGCCGGGCTGCTGGCGCGGCTGGACGGGCAGCTCTCCGCAGAATCCAGGGGACGGTTGCTGAGCGGGCCTGGGACAGCGGGTCGCGGCACCTCCGGCCTGCGCGTGTCTAATCCGTCTGTCGGGTCCCGAAAGAGCTAAGCCGAGCCTGCGCCGGACGGGTGGGCTGGACTGAGAGGTGGGTGTGCGGACCTCGGGGGGGATCCTGGTGCTGCCCCAACGTGTCCGGGGGTGGAACCCGGATGTCTAGACAGGAGTTCTGGAACGTCCAGACCTGGGAGCCCCCACCCATACGAGAGGTCTAAGCCATGGGATAAAGTTATGAGACTGTTGGGGGAAGACGCCCCCGGATTCCTAAGAGACTCCACGCCCCACAGGGGCGCTAGTCTGTGGCGGCAGAAACCCTGGGGAAGCTGCCACAGAATCCTGAGGCCCCTCACAATGTCCGGCGACCCCAGACTGTGTGACAGGGAGATTGGAGAAGAGCAGCGGCAGGGATCTTCTTATAATCCCATGGGTGTCCTAGATTAGGCATTAGGGTCAGCTGCCCCATAGAAGAACAGACATGGGGGGAATCAGAATGTCCGCAGAACCTAAGGCTGGTGACCACTGGACAGTCTTGAAGAGGTTTAACCCAGACAGAGTAACTAGGTAAGAGGCAAGGATCCTAACAGGCAGAGATTGGGAGGTTGACACCTCTGAGCCTACCAGGATGGGAGGGGGAACAAGCAGTGACTTGAACAGGCTGGGACCCACACACCCCAACTGTGTGGAGCGGTAACCCTCACCCCCCACCCATGCACCGTATGGGGTGACTTCCCAAGTGACTGTTCTGAAGAGAGGGAAGGGATGATTGAAAGATGAATCAACAGGAGGTGGGGGGCAGGCCTGGGGCCACACATTAGTCAGTCACCATACATTAACTAAGCATCCACAGTGTGCCAGACCAGGGCCCCTCAAATTCCAGACAGACATTAGTTGGGGCTACAGGAGGAAGGAGAGATCTGCGCTGGGAGGCTGGGCCAGGATTTAGGGGTCCATTTTGATGGGCAGCACTGGGGCAAGATGGGGCTCTTGCCTCTGTCACTGAGAGTGTTCCAGGCCCTTGAGGGCACTTTGGAAGGGAGCTTCGGAAGCCGGAGATGACGAAGATTTTGATTACATCCTTCTCTGCCCTCTAAGTCTTTGGCTTCCTCCTTGCTCAGTGACAAATCCTTGGCCCTCTCCAATCTTCTCAGTTTGCCTGAAATCCAGGGGTTGGGCAGGTCAGCTTCTGAAAGCCCTTCCAGGTGGGGAATTGAATTCTGTATGAATTGGCAGGAGGTGCTGGGTGCCTGGACACCTGGCTTCAGGAGGTCTGGACAGCAGAGCTGGCTCCAAGAATCGGAAGACACAGTGTACCTTCCTATACCTGGGGGAATGACAGTGGTGGTGGCAGCAAGAACTACGGGTTCAGCCCACAGCCAGAAGCTGAGCCTGCGGAGTGGGTGGGGGCTGGGTAGGCCCTGTGGATGGGTGGGTGGGGCAGGAAACTGGAGACTGGAGTGCACCCCCTGGTGGTAAGCACAGCTTGGGTGGGTCTTGCCAGGCCCTGGCTTCTCAATCCAGGTCCCTGCCCTCCCTGTTTTGAGGTTTAGACAGGATGAGAGTCCATCCCAGGCCACACAGCAGACTGGCGGCCAAGCTGGCAGGGCTGGAACCAGAGACCCCCTACCCTGGGTTTGGTGAGTTTTCCAGCAAACCACCCTAGGGCAGAGGGCAGCTTCCAGCCAGGAGCCACATTATAGGATGGGACAGTAATGGACGCTCCTAGGTTAGAGAGGGAAAGTAAGGCACAGAGCCTAAGTGCCTGTGGTTTCTGGAAGCCCCAGCATGCCTGATTCATGTCTGTCCCCTGCAGAATTCTCTGAGCTGGTGACAGGTGCCACAGGCACTGGGGATCTCACCAGAAAGGAACCGACGGAGCTAGGGGCCAGCGAGATGGCGGACGAGGCCTTAGCTGGGCTGGATGAGGGAGCCCTTCGGAAGCTGGTAAGTGGCCCCATCACCCACTGTGGGGACAGGAAAGCCAAGCCAGAGAGGCAGGGTCAATCCAGGGTACCTCTCAGCTGACAGGAAGAAGTGATGGGGGAAAGGTCAGGAGGAGGGGGACATGGGAACAGGGGTAGGCCAGTTCCATGTGGCTGATGCAGAGGCCCTTGTGGCATGTGCCTGTCCATGCCTGGTACTGAAGCCTAGTCCCTCCCAACCCTCCACAGCCACCACCTGTTTAAACAGTAACTGCTGTAGACTCGCCCGTATGCAGCCACAGGTGTGGGGAGGCTGGATATGCCTCTCCAGAGCAATAGCTCGGGCAATGCCCACCCCTGGAAGCTGGCCCAGTGATAATGGTAGCAGCAATGATTAATAATGCCAAGGCCTGGCAGGGGGCAGGCTGGGTACTGGGTATACCATGTCACAGAATAATCACAGCAGCTCTGAAAGCCTGGGCACTGCGACTCAAGAGAGTTAAAATCACCTGCTCAAGGACACCCATCTAAGAAGGAGCTGTGCCAAAATCCCAACCCCATAGTGGGCCACGGGGGACCAGAGTCCTGGGAAAGTCAAGGCTGGACGAGGCCATAAGAGAGAGACAGGTTTTGTGGGCCCTTATGGATTCTGTGGCTTCTCATCTCATTTTTCTACTCTTGAGTCTCAGTTCCTCTACCTGTAAAATGAAGGGAGGGAGGGAGATGTGTTTGCACACAAGCTCTAGGTCCTAGAGTTGGCATGGGGACAGAATGAGGCATGGACCCAGATCTCAGGTGGAGGAAAGATGAGCCCACTCCATCCCCTTTCTTGTTCCTCTTCCTGAGAGCCCTGTCTACCTCCATGCACAGAGGCCGTAGGGCAACCCAGTGGGGCAGGGCTCCTTCCCCAACCCCAAAGGCCAGGCAGCCTGACCTGGAGGAGGGGCCAGAGGAGCTCCATCTCCTCAGTCCCTGACCCTTGTCCATGGGGGTAAATTAAAGATTTACTTTACCTAGAAGACAAGTGACCCACCCCACTCTCATACCTTCCCCCGCAGGCAGAGGCTGGAACCAACCAGCGTAGCCCAGCCACTGGGCAGTGCCCAGCTGCTGCCATGACCTCCCCAAGGCACTCTGCCTGTATGTTCTCGGACCAGCGCATTAGACTCTCTGGGTGTCTGCCTCTCCACTATCACCGCAGGATGTGTGCAGCCTGGAGGGGATGAGGTTAGGTTTCCAAAGGTGCCCGCCAGTCAGTTCGACCTTCCCTCAGGAAGTCCAAGTCCCAGTGGGGGTCGTAGAGGCAGCACAGTCCAAAAAGAGGGAATGCCAGGCCTGGTTCCCGCACATCCTCATCTCAAGGTATCCACAGGCAGGCTCAGGGTTCTTCAGCCGCCACCTCCCTCTCTTAAGCGAGGCTCGGGCGGCGCTGGAAAAGAGTTTTGGAGAGAAGCTGGAGCAGTGGTTGAATCTCTGGGAAAGGACAGATGAGAACCTGCCCCGGTCTCGGGATCGGTGCCTCTCGAAGTCTTTCCGACCCCGGGAGCGGCTCCTCCAGCACCCGGCGCCCGCCATTACTGCGCCCCGCGCGCCGGCCCGGCCCCCGCTGGCCTCGTGGCAAGAACGGGGGCGTCCCGAGCCGGGCTCCTCCCCGCGGGGCCGGGCCATATAAGGAAAAGCTAGGCCCGCTCCGCCCGCCCTGCGCCCCAGCGTCTGGCCGATTTGGGGACGCGGGCAGTCGCTTCCGGCCCCGGCTCCCGCACATTCTTGAGGATTGGGCCGGGGATGGGAGGAATGGGGACGCCTGGGGACTTGCACGCCGCGTGCCCCTCCACCACCCGCCGGGACGCCCTCTGCCTCGGTCCCGAGTTCGAGTTCGACCTCCGCCACTCAGCTGGGTGTCCTGGGGACCTTGGTTTCTTCCCTTTAGATCCGGACACTGAAGCAGGCGGTAGCGGGTGTCTTCCTACCTGGCTACCCCTTCGGCGCCTAGCGCGAGGCAGGGTGGGCGAGGCGAGGGCGGCGCCCTGCGAGGGAGGGCGGTCGCAGAACCTGCGGGCCTTCAGCGCCCCCTGGCGAGGCTTCCCTCCACCGCCGGCGGGACCCCCATGGGCAACCGGGGGAGCTGGGACTGAAAGCCTGGAGAGCCCCCTCCGTTGTGCTGTTGGGGAGACTGAGGCCCAGTGAGACCTCAGGGCCTGCCAGGCGTTCCCAACAGCGAGGGCAGAGAGTACACGGAGAGCCGGCTCCCCAGGGGGAGGAAGCACCCTCTTTCCTCCCGGGAGAATTTCACTGGGCAGTTTCGGAAACCGCCCCATCCCCTTCCCCTTCCCCCTCGGTAGACAATGGCGCTTTGTACTTCCTTCCCTCCCTCCCACAGCTCCCTCCTTACACAGCGGTGGGGCCTGGGCGGGTGGAACTCGGGACACACAGAGGAGACACTGTGGTCCAACCTTTGCCTCCAGGCCCAAAGGGAAGGGTCGTGCCAGAGGGTGACCAGTGGAATGAGGTTGTCAGTCTCCAGCCTTGCCCACCCACTTTGGGGGATCAGAGGGAGGCTCCCATTTTCCAGATGGGGACACTGAAGCTCCGGGGGTTGTGCTGTAGAGGTGGCCAAGTTCCTACATCAGGCTTTTGTCAGAGACAAGGACCCCATCTCCGAGCCCAGAGCACTGAGAATGGGGACCTAGGAGACAAAAGGCTAGCCCTTGCCCCTCTGGGCCTCTTTACCCTCTGTACAGAAGGGGCTGGACCCTCTGTCCCCTCCAGCCCCCAGCCTCCAAATGTACCACAGAAGGCTCTAGGCCTGAGACACAGCCAGCACCGGGGGCTGGGGAGTGAGCCTCATTCCCCCCGCCTCTGCTATAAGGCCTCCTTAGGCCTCAGAGCATCTCTAGTCCAGGCTAGAGGGGTCTCCAACACAGTGCCAGGATCCCTGAGGTCCCCACCATGACACACAGACCCCAGTAGCAGAGCTATCTTCAGCCTAGGGCAGGCCCTGGAGTCAGAGAGACCTGGGTTCAAATCCTGGCTCAGGTCATTTGACCATGAGCAAATCACATGTCCTCCCTGGACTTCAATCTCCTCATCTGTCAAATGGGAATAACAGTAGTATCTAGGGTTTTTGTGGGCTTAGGACAAGTAGGGGGCTCAGCACAGGGTTTGACTCACAGGCTCTCCATAAATGTTACTGATGCCTCGGGGTATCCTGCCCTTCCCATTTGCCCCCTTGTCTCTCTCCCTCCTCCTGACTGGCTAGAACCAAGTATGGGGGTGATGCTTATTGCAACTGCAGCTATGTACAGGAGAGGCCAAGTCACTGTTCCCAACCCCACCCACTGGCAAATGAAAAAACCAAGACACAGAGAGTTTAAGGGATATGCTCTTGATCACCCAGCCAGGATTGGACTAGGGCTGGAACCAACTAAGGGCTCTGGCCTGAGTTTCAGGGGGTCTTCTCATAATTCCTCAGGAATGTGGAGCCTGGAGGGCTCTTCCCCCAAGACTCTCCCTGCTCTCTTCAGACTAGGACAAGCTGGCTCATGGCTGAGTTGGGCCAGCCCACACTCCCTGCTGAAAACTATCTCCATCCCATCCCCACCCTTGCCACCTGGCCTTCCCGCTAAGCAGAAAGGAATGACGGGGGGGCGCTAAAAAGGGAGATGATAGAGGGTTCTTTGGCCCTACCCCTGAATGATTTGGGGGGTGGGGACAGAGGAAATCACCCCGCCTTTACTGGCTCCCGTCTGGTTATCAGACCCACACTGGAGGCTTATCTCTGCCACTATCTTCCAGGGGAACCCTGGGCCAGTCCTCTCTCCCTTGAGCCACGGAGGATCTGTATGTAGCAGGTGGCTCTACATGGTGGAGGTGTGGGGGAGGCAACAGGATTGGCTGACTCACTCCAGAGAAGGTGTTCTTTCCTGAACCTGGTTAGACCAGTCACCCCCAATTTCCCGGGAACTGAGGGGTTGAGAACCGGTAGAAGCAGCTGTCACCCAGGGATGCCCTCTATAAGGCCCTGGGGTGGCCCCTAGTGCCAGCCACCTTATATGTCTGGGGGATTGGTCCTCCCACTCTGCACCCTGGCTTCTTCCATGGTGGCTAGGTCCAGGCCAGTGCAGTGGGGACAATAGCCCTCAGCCAGGCAGGACTCCTGAGCACCTGTCCTCAGTTTCCCCATCTGTGGATGAAGCAGTCAACCCCCAGCTGGGCTGTGGTGTTTGGTGACTAGACCAGGGAGCCTCCCTTGCTCAGAGGGTGGACTTCATCTGTCACCTTTCCCTCTAGGGACCCTGTTAGTGACCCACAGGGTGGCCTCCCTCCTCCTCCTACAATAGCTCCCTGACTTTTGGGGATCTGGGCTCTGAGAGGCAGGAATCGAGTTGTAGAAAGGAGTGCCTGGCTTGGCACCTGGCACAAGTGGGCAGTTTCTGGCTGTCCACTCACAGTTGTGTGCTCTGTGAACCACAATGCAAAGTGGACTACCCAAGATCCCTGAAACAGTGGGCTGGGTCTACCCCCGGGACCCTGCGTGGGCAGGCAGGCACGTGAAGAGCTTGGGACACAGGGAGTGGACACAGGCCACACATTGTGCCCTAGGCAGAGCCGTGGGCAGCTGGTGCCAGCCCTCCGCCCCTGGCAGCCAAAATGACCTGCCTCTCGCACCCACTGCAGCTGGAGGTCACAGCAGATCTGGCAGAGCGGCGGCGCATCCGCTCAGCCATCCGGGAACTGCAGCGGCAGGAGCTGGAGCGCGAGGAGGAGGCCCTGGCATCCAAGCGTTTCCGTGCCGAGCGGCAGGACAACAAGGAGAACTGGCTGCAGTGAGTAGCGGGGGGTGGAACATGCGGGTGAGAAGGTGAGTGTGAGCCCTGGCTCAGCTCATGTGTGCAGGCAGGCGTGAGCACAAGTGTATCTGTGGATTGCATGTGCTAATGGCAGTACGTCCACACACGCTTCTGGAAAAACAGAGATGTTTGTGGGCATGGAGCATGTACTGATTGTGGCGTCGCGGCCGTGCTGATGTAGCCAGCACGTCTGAGTGTGTGGTATTAGTGCCCACGTCCATGGGCATATGTGTATCAGTGTGCAGTTAGAGGGTGTGCACAGCCACATGCCCTTCTGCCAAGGTTCTGGGTACTCTGTTCTGGCTCCTACCCTTAGCCCACATCCTCCACGACCTGGCCATGGCAGTGGTGGTTACAGTCATGATGTCTCTGCAGCTCTCAGCAGCGGGAAGCTGAGCAGCGGGCTGCCCTGGCACGGCTGGCAGGGCAGCTGGAGTCCATGAACGATGTGGAGGAATTGACTGCACTGGTGAGGCCCAGGCTGGGGCAGGGGATGGGGGCAGGGCAGGTGAAGACCTGGACTCCACAGCCCAACACCCGCGACCTGTCTCTTACCCACAGTTGCGAAGCGCTGGTGAGTATGAGGAGCGCAAGCTGATCCGAGCTGCCATCCGCCGTGTACGGGCTCAGGAGATTGAGGGTATGTGGCCTGTCCCGGCCCCACCCCTGCCCTGCTGTCTGCTGTCCACAGCACCTCCCTGTCACTCACCTGCCACTTGCTCCTTCCCTTCCAGCTGCCACCTTGGCTGGGAGGTTGTACAGCGGGCGTCCCAACAGTGGCTCAAGAGAGGACAGCAAGGGGCTAGCGGCACACAGGCTGGAACAGTGTGAGGTAAGGAGGGTGGGAGAGTGGCCCAGTGTCCTGTGCCCATGGATACCGGTAGCACAGAGTGCCTGAGTGTCTTTGCTAGGCTGGTATTTCACTGTAAGGGGCCCACCCCTGCCATCCAGCCTCTATTTAGCAGTCAGAGGGATCTCCCAGAAATGCAAATCCGGCCCTGGCACCTCCCCTGCTTCAACCCGTCCCAGGGCTGCCCCTCACCCTCCACACAGCCCACATCTTTACCTTGGCTTATGGGGCCTGCATGTCAGACCCCAGCTGGCTCACAGTTCACTCTATTTTCCAGAGTGTGGGTGAGAGGTCAGGCCATGCAGGTTCCCCAAGTGGCCAGCAGAGGCCGCTGGGTCCACGGTCCTGGCAGGACCCCACTCCCACTCCAGATGAACCAGGCTGAGGCCAGGAGTCAGGAACCTCCACTCCAGGGATCTATTAAGGCTCCCGTCCCCAATAGGTCTCCTGCCATACCCACCCACTGACATCAGGACCTGGTCCTCTCTGAACCCCTTTGGCTAGGTAGTGCCAAGAGATTGGGAAGTGGGGATCAGAGACTGCCCTTAGCATGCCAGTGCCAGTGCTTGCGCAGGTGTGCCTACAGGAAGCCATGCCCCACCACTCTGCTTTGCATGCCCTGCCCTGGGCACTTGCCAGCCTGGCCCTCAGTGGTGGGGGTGGCGTTCAAAGCCTAGGGAGCCTTGGTTGCATCCTGTGGGTCCCTTACAGGTGCCAGAGCGAGAGGAACAGGAACAGCAGGCAGAGGTTTCAAAGCCAACCCCCACCCCTGAAGGCACCAGCCAGGATGTGACCACAGTGACACTCCTGCTGCGAGCCCCACCTGGGAGCACATCCAGCTCACCTGCCTCACCCAGCAGTTCACCCACCCCTGCCTCTCCTGAGCCTCCATTGGAGCCTGCCGAGGCCCAGTGCCTTACAGCTGAGGTTCCAGGCAGCCCAGAGCCACCCCCCAGCCCACCCAAGACCACCAGCCCTGAGCCTCAGGAGTCTCCAACGCTCCCCAGCACTGAGGGCCAGGTGGTCAACAAGGTGAGTCTGGATGAGGGGCAGGGATGCCAGGCAAGTGAGCAGGTCTGGGAGTCAGGCCTTGCTCAGGCCCTGTTCTTCTCCCTTGCAGCTTCTGTCTGGCCCCAAAGAGACCCCTGCTGCCCAGAGCCCCACCAGAGGCCCCTCTGACACCAAGAGAGCAGGTGAGGGTCCCAGCAGGGGTAGTCACAGGCATCTTTCTTCCCCTCCCCCTGCCTCCCTTTCCCTGCCTAGAAAATGGGCTCTTGTGCCTGGCAGCTCTAGCTTCCTCAGGTCCATGCAGTCCCTGATACTGCACCCCACCCCTGAAGTGTCCCCGCCCCCAGCTAGGCCAGCCTCCCCCTCCACCCCCATGGCTAGAGGCCTCCCCTGCAGCCTTGAAAGGCAACGGGCCTCAGGCACATTCTTCTCCCCAATAAGGGAGTCCACCCATCTCCCAGCTGGAGCTGTGGGCAGCACTGGCCAGGAGGGCTGTCCCCCCTCCCCATCTGCAGAAAGGATCTGGGCACCCTTCCTCCAGCCTAAGCCTCGCCTGGCCCCCAGGAGTGTCCAAGTCATCCTAGGGTCAGTGTGGCAGGAGAAGGAGGTGCCTGTAGGAGAGATGCAGCCGAGTGGGGATGCCGGAGTGTGGGAGATCCAGGAGGGGATGGAGAGGTGGGGTGGGGGTTGAGTACAGGAAAGGGTGGGAAGCTAGGGAGGTGTAGAGGAGAGGATTATGAAAGGTGGACACCCACTATCCCCTGTCTTTTCTCTTTCCCCACATGGCCATCACCCCCTCCCCAACCTGCCAGACGTGGCTGGACCCCGACCCTGCCAACGCTCCCTGTCGGTGCTCAGCCCCCGCCAACCAGCCCAGAACCGAGGTACTACCTATTCTCACCCTGCCTAGGATCTGTGCAGACCCTGTCCCACCCAGTTGCTGACAGCCCTCCTGTTCCTTCTAGAGTCCACCCCCCTTGCCAGCGGACCTTCCTCATTCCAGCGGGCTGGCTCTGTGCGGGATCGTGTCCACAAGTTCACATCTGATTCTCCTATGGCTGCTAGGCTCCAGGATGGCACACCCCAGGCTGCCCTAAGTCCCCTGACCCCCGCAAGGCTCCTGGGCCCCTCCCTCACCAGCACCACCCCTGCCTCCTCCTCCAGCGGCTCCTCCTCTCGGGGCCCCAGTGATACCTCCTCCCGGTTCAGCAAGGAGCAACGAGGAGTAGCCCAGCCCCTGGCCCAGCTTCGAAGCTGCCCCCAGGAGGAGGGCCCCAGGGGGCGGGGCTTGGCTGCTAGGCCCCTTGAAAACAGAGCAGGGGGGCCTGTGGCACGTTCAGAGGAGCCTGGTGCCCCGCTGCCCGTGGCCGTCGGCACTGCCGAGCCAGGGGGCAGTATGAAGACCACATTCACCATCGAGATCAAGGACGGCCGTGGCCAGGCCTCCACAGGCCGGGTGCTGCTGCCCACAGGCAACCAGAGGGCAGGTAGGCGCCCCCCACTGCCTCCCCAATGGGGATGAGTGCCTGCAACCGCACTTCTGCATGCAGGACAGGTGCTGCGGCCAGGACTCAGGGTGTCTCCAAAGGGTGTGCTGGGAGCGAGGGCATTATCAACCTTGTCTGGCACTGCCCTCACTCCACCTGATCCTCCTGACAGCCACCTTTCTCCCCACTCAGAACTGACACTGGGGCTGCGGGCGCCCCCGACCCTACTCAGCACCAGTAGTGGGGGCAAGAGCACCATCACCCGTGTCAACAGCCCTGGGACCCTGGCTCGGCTGGGCAGTGTCACTCATGTCACCAGCTTCAGCCATGCCCCCCCCAGTAGCCGAGGAGGCTGCAGCATCAAGGTGAGCCCCTCCTCACCCCACCAGCCTCACCATCCGTCAGCCTCACATACACTGCTTCAGGGTGTAGGGCTAGCAGGGTTCCTCTGCTCCTCCCCTACTGCACACACAGAGAAACCGAGGCCCAGAGAGGGAAGGTGGCTGCTCACAGACCACAGCCAGTCGGTGGCAGAGCTAAGGCCAGACCCTAGCATATCAGTCCCTAAGTGTGTCGGAAGCTTACTCTGTACTGGCGTTAAGCTTCCTGGATGCTGATCTCTGATCCTTAGTTCGAAATTGGTTGGTTCATTCCTGGTGAACAGATGGGGAAACTGAGGCTCAGAGAGGGTGGTAAGGGCTTGCTCCCCTCTTCCTGTGGCAGCCCCAGTGCCCCTGCGCCCACCCACACTGGACATCAGCCCCGAGGTATAGAGCAGCTCATCTGCTCATCCAAGATCAGCCTGGCCCATTAGGAGATTGGAGATTAGTGATTAGCATCTGCGTCAACCTCCCTGTGGGGGTTGGGCAGAAGCTCTGAGGGGGGACAGACAGGCAGAGGGGCGCCAATCAGGTGAGGCAGCAGCCTAGCAGGTGCCTTGGGAACTGAATACGCAGCACCCTTCCATTATTCATTCCCAAGCCCAGGATCCACTAGCCGGGAGCTCAGCCGGGAAAGGGATCCCCAAGCGGGCCACCCGGCTGCCCAGGTAATGCCCTCTGTGCTAAACCAGGGACTGAATGGGACTTTGGCTGAGGTGAGATGGCTAGACCAGCTTTGGGCCTTCTCAGGGGAGACAGGGAGAGAGTGAGGGAAATAAAGCACCCTTCCTTTCCAAAAAAGCAGGATCCAGCTGCCCTCTGACAAGGGATTGTGTGGGGTGGGGTGGGGGGACCCGCTGAGGCCCTTGAGGTGGATGGGAGGTGCCACAGTGAGACCTGGGTCTGACACCACCAACTTGCCTCAGTTTACCCATCTGGAACCAAAGGGGACAGGTGATGTACCCATAATGTGCTTGCTCAAAGTCTGTGGTTGGACGTGAGCACCATGGGCAGGCCAGAGGGCATTTATGTAAGACCAAGACACTTTTTATAGCAGATCACTCAAAGTCCTGCCTCCCTGTGCCTCCATTTCCCCCATCTGTTCCAGCTGTCTAAAACAGCTGGAGTTAGGGTAAAGGGTAAAGGAGTACAGGCTGTGGAGTCCAGCAGACTGATTCTCACAGCTAATGTACATGGTGGCTAGGCCAGGTCCATTCCCTGTTCCCTGCCTCAGTTTCCCCACCTGTGAGGCATGGGGCCCCGATCTCAGTGATCTTCAGAACCCATGCAGTCTTACTGTGCTGCAGGCCTATGATTTCTGTAGGGCTATAGCCAGGCCTGGCGATCCGCCTGCTTGGGCAGGCCCCCCCTCCCCCACTGCCCCTTCCACGGAGGAGCCCAGAATAGGTTTCTATTTGGGCTGCAGCTCCAGCTGGCTGGTGGCGGGCTGGGAGGCAGGGGCGGGGCAGGCCCGCTGCCCTTGCCTTTGCCCTCGGACCAGCTGCAAAGACTCAGACACTCAGCCAGAGACAGCAGCCCCTGCCACTGCCCCACCATTACCCCCCATAGAGTCCCCACCAGCACCATGCCGGGGGTACCAGGGCCTGGGCCTGAGCTGGCCGCAGCCCTTGAGGAGCAGTTGGGCCGGGCACTGGAGGAGCTGCGGGCGGTGGCTGAAGCAGGCCGGGTGGCAGTGACCCAGGCAGCCGAGGTAGCTGTAGCCACCGTGGAGCCGGTGGCCCGGGCAGCTGAAGAGCTGCGGGCAGAGAGAGCAGCACTGAGCCGGCGGCTGGATGCACTGAGCAGGCAGGTGGAGGTGCTGAGCCTACGGCTGGGGGTCCCACTTGTGTCCGGCCTTGAGCCTGAGCTGGAGCCCAGCGAGCTGCTCCTGGCTGCCGCCGACCCCGAGGCCCTCTTTCAGGCTGCCGAGGATGCCGGGACCCCCGTGGCCCACCCACCTGCCTTCAGCACCCGCCGCCGCTCCTCCACCGGCACCACCCGCAGCACTAGTCTCGTAAGTGCTTCTGGGTTGGTGGGAGGGGTAGTTTTGAGCCAGGCTCTGCCTCCTCTTGACTTTAGGTATGTCACCACCTTCTCTGAGCCTCAGTTTATCTATCTTGACAGGGGACTGGGGCACTAGTGCTCTAAGACTAGGGCAAGAGGGTGCCAGGCTCCAGCCCTGAGGCATGTGTGGCAGCTGCCTTGGCAGCCCCTGGCATGACCCAGGCCCCAGCCCCCAGCTCCCTGCCGCCCTGCACCCTGGCCAGACCAAGCCTCCCTGAAACAGCTGCCACCTCAGCTCTCCTTACCCTTATAGCAGACGGAGAGGCCCTGCCAGGAGAGGAAGGGCCATAATAGTTGGCTTGGGGCCTTGTCTTCAAGGGGCTAGGGAGATGCCCTGGGAGGGCTGCAGGGCTAGAGACTCCTTAGAGGATGGTTTCCAGCAGGGGCGAGGCAGGGGGAGGTGGTACAGAGGAGAGCTTCATAGAGGTCTTGGCTCAGGGCAGCCCCAGTCAGACACCTGGTCAGGAGCCTACAGGCCCCGGGCCAGCCCTCTTGGCAAGGTAGCAGGCAGATGGGGGGCAACATGTGCTGCCTGGGCACTGGCCCAGGAGGACCTAGGCCTCGGGAACTGGCAGCACAGAGCAGAGCCTGCCTGGGAGGGGGCTGGGAACAAAGCAGCAAAATGAACTAAGGTTCAGGAGTTAGGCTGCCTTCAGCTCAGATCCCAGGCTGCATCACACTTAGAGAGAGACTGTGGGCAAGTCAGTTAGCTGCCCTGAGCCTCAGTTTCCCCTTCTGTTTTTTTTTTTTTTTTTTCCGGTCTTGTTTTCTTTGCAACAGGGTCTTACTCTCTTGCCCAGACTGGAGTGCAGCTGCATGATCATAGCTCTCTGCAGCCTCTAACTCCTGGGCTCAAGTAATCCTCCTACCTCAGCTTTCTGAGTAGGTGGGACTACAGGTGCACACCACCATGCCTAGCTAATTTTTTATTTTTGTTTTTGTAGAGATGCGGTCTCGCTATGTTACCCAGGTTGGTCTCAAACTGCTGGCAACAAGTGATCCCTCCCACCTCGGCCTCCCAAACTGTTGACATTACAGGCATGAGCCACTGCGCCCGGCCTTCCCTTCTGTTAAATAGGGACAGTAAAGTCCCTAGTGTTTATACAACACTTACTATGGACTGGAAATCATCATTATTATCACTATCCATTGTATTAATACAATTCGGGGTACGTGGGAAGCCCTACAACAAAACTGTCAGTGCCTCTTCCCTGACTGACGCTGACATGGCCATCTTTGGGCAGGCAGGCTGGCAGGCTAGTGGTTATTTCCAAGGCGTGCCAGCAACCCTAGGATCTGCTTCCCTATCCATTGGAGACATGATGAGTTTCACCCATACCCCTGCTTAAAGTCCATGCCCTCTCCCCACCCTGCAGATGGAAGCAGAGCCAGCAGAGCCTCTCGCTGCAGCAGTGGAAGCGGCCAATGGGGCTGAGCAGACCCGAGTGAACAAAGCACCAGAAGGGCGGAGCCCTCTGAGCGCTGAGGAGCTGATGACTATTGAGGATGAAGGAGTCTTGGACAAGATGGTATAGCCAGATCCGGTGGGCTGGGGGTTGGCAGAGGCCAGCAGGCACCAGGTAGGCAATGATGGGCTCTATATGCAGCTGGATCAGAGCACGGACTTTGAAGAGCGGAAGCTCATCCGGGCTGCACTTCGTGAGCTCCGACAAAGGAAGAGAGGTAGAGAGCCAGTTGCCCTACCCTAGATCCAGCTGCCCCATTCCCCAGCTGCTCCCCTCATACTCTGGGGTCCATTTGTGGACACCCCAGCTTAATAACTGCCCTACCCAGCTTCTCCTTCTCTAGACCCAGCAGTTCCCTTGGCTATTCCCTGCTGGATCCAGCTGCTCCTTCCCTAGCTCCTTCTCTCCCGCTGGTGACCCCAGTTATTCTCCCCAACCAGCTTCTCTTCTCCTTCCTAGACCCAGATACTCCCTCCCGCAGCTACTCTCTCCTTGGATCCAGTTGCCTCTCAAAGTACTGTCAACGACTCCTTCCCTGAATCCAGATACTCCTTCTCCCTGCTGCTCCTCTCTCCCTGAAGTCCATTGATGGCCATCTTAGCCTCTGCCCCATCCAGCTTCCCTTTTCCTGGACACAACTACTTCCTCCCCCAGATAGTTCTTCCCTGGACACATCTATTCATTCCCTTAGATTCTGGGTTCAATTGCTTCTCCTCTCAAACACTCTCAATTACTCCTCTGAATCTAGCTGCTTCTGCCAGGGCCCACTGATGGCCACCCCAGTCTCTATCTCTACCCACCTACTTCTATTTTAAGCCCAGTTAACCCCCTTCACTAGCTTCTCTCCCAGCTACTCTTCCCCTGGATCAGATTGCTTCTCAGATCCCATCAATTGCTCCCTTCCTGGATCTAAATATTCCTGCCTCCAGCTGCTCTTCTCCTCCAACCAAAGACCTGCTGATGGCCCACCCAGCTACTTCCTCACTCAGCTTCTCCTTCCTTGGACTCAGCTACCCCCTCACTAGATCTAGATACCCCTCCTGACTTAGCTACTCATGCCTATAGAAACCCTTTTTGGATCCATACCCCTTTGAGTTTAGCTACTCCGTATTCTCTAGTTTCTGCCTGAGTCCATCAAACCCTTCCCACACTCCATTCCCTGTCAAGTTATGGCTGTCCCCTCACCCCAGCTGCTCCTAGAGAGGCCCTTGTTACCTGTGTCATTCATGTTTCTAACAAGCCACCCTCCACCCCGTCTTGTGTGCCCCATGCACCTGTGCATCTGTGCTGTGTGGGTGTTGGTGGCCCTTTTGCGCATGCATGGGGCATCCCCTGCCCAGACCAGCGGGACAAGGAGCGGGAACGGCGGCTGCAGGAGGCACGGGGCCGGCCAGGGGAGGGGCGCGGCAACACAGCCACTGAGACCACCACGAGGCACAGCCAGCGGGCAGCTGATGGCTCTGCTGTCAGCACTGTTACCAAGACTGAGCGGCTCGTCCACTCCAGTAAGGGGCCAAATGGGGCCGGCCCAGGGCTCAGGGTGGGAACACATCCTCCCCCAGCCCCCTGTGCCTTTCACATCCTTCTCATCCCCTGCCCCTGCAGATGATGGCACACGGACGGCCCGCACCACCACAGTGGAGTCGAGTTTCGTGAGGCGCTCGGAGAGTAAGGCCACCTGGTGTCGCCCTGTGCCTGCCTGCCTGTCCGCCCACCTCCTCCGGCTCTTCCTTGAGCTCTCTCTCCGTGTCTTCAACTGTGCCGTCACTTTCTCTTCTCTGCCTGCGGCTATCACCACCCCTCCATACAGCCTCCCATCCCATCTCCTGATGTCCAGCCCAGGCCCTCACCTGGTGCCCCTTCCCCTTTTTTGCAGATGGCAGTGGCAGCACCATGATGCAAACCAAGACCTTCTCCTCTTCCTCCTCATCCAAGAAGATGGGCAGGTGAGCACCAGCACCCAATCCCTGACCATAGAGGAGTCAGTGCCACAGGGGACCTAACTGCAAACCCGTTTTACAGAGGGGTGGGCTGGGCACAGTGGCTCTTGCCTGTAATCCCAGCACTTTGGGAGGCCGAGGTGGGCGGATCACTTGAGGTCAGGAGTTCAAGACCAGCCTGGCCAACATGGTAAAACCTCATCTCTACTAAAAATACAAAAATTAGCCGGGCGTGGTGGCAGGCACCTGTAATCCCAACTACTGGGGAGGCCGAGGCACAAGAATCACTTGAACCTGGGAGGCGGAGGTTGCAGTGAGCTGAGATCACTCCACTGCACTCCAGTCTGGGCAACAGAGCGAGACTCAGTCTCAAAAATAAATAGATAAATAAATAAATAAATAAATAAATAAATAAATAAAACAGAGGGGTAGACTGGGATGCTGGGAGGTAATAGGTCTATAGCCAGGGAGGGGCAAAGTGAGAGTTAAGGATCCTGCTCTCCTTGGGATCTCATTTTATTCTCAACCACACCACAGGAGAGGTGGATGCTCAGGGAGGCCAGTGAGTTGCTTAGGGGCTCACATCTCTGAGTGGCTGCAATAGCATTGAACACTTACAGAGGCCTACCTACCACACTGAGCTGCCTGGTGGCACTGCCACTTCCCAGTATCTGCAAACCATGTCCCAGGTCACACAGCACCTTTATACCTTAGCCCCATGAGAAAGGAGGGTACCCCCATGTAACAGAGGCTGTTGGGGCTGGCAGAAAGCAGGAACAGGATCAGAATCCAGGATGAGAACCAAAGGGGTCCAGAGACTCTGAATCAGAGAGACCTTGTTCAAGTTCTAGTTCCGCCCATCACGTCCTCTGAAATCTTAGGCAAGTTACTGCCAGAGGTCTCAGTTTCCTCACCTTTAGTGGAATTGGTAAGGCCCCTCCCTGCTCTTGTGAAGTTTAAAATGGCACACAGGAAAGGATCAACAGAGATGAATTATTATTATTACTATTATTATGCTAGTCATCATTTTTATTATCGGATAGTGCCCAGAAGCTGAACTCCCCTGTAACTTGAGGGTACAATGAGGCTTCTCAGAGAACTACTCGTGGGTGGGGGAGGGGGAGGCGGAAACCTGTTGAAAACCTTGCTGTCATTTGAGACTCAGTGTACTCCTCTAAAATGCGTGTGATGAGGACGCCTCCCTCCCTGGCAGGCGTTTGTGGCAGTGGAGATACTAGTGTGCTACAAGACCCCCCCTCCTCCTCGCGAGTGGTGGTCCAGGCTGGGGAGCAGCCCTGCTCTCCCTGCCTAACATGCGCCTCCCCAACCCCTAGCATCTTCGACCGCGAGGACCAGGCCAGCCCACGGGCCGGCAGCCTGGCGGCGCTCGAGAAACGGCAGGCCGAGAAGAAGAAAGAGCTGATGAAGGCGCAGAGTCTGCCCAAGACCTCAGCCTCCCAGGCGCGCAAGGCCATGATTGAGAAGCTGGAGAAGGAGGGCGCGGCCGGGTGAGCTGCAGAAGTGGGCTGGGCAGTGGGGGGCGGGGCGTGATAGGCAGTGGGGGGCGGGGCTTGATAGTTGGCCCGGCAGAGGCGGGAAGACCGCGCGGCTAGATCTGTGGTGCAAAGGCCCGAAGGTCATGGAAGGCGGGGCCTGGGATCCACTGGGTGGGCCCACCGAGGCATGCCCCTTATAGTCGTGTGACCTGGTCCTGACACCGCCCCTACAGCAGCCCTGGCGGACCCCGCGCAGCCGTGCAGCGATCCACCAGCTTCGGGGTCCCCAACGCCAACAGCATCAAGCAGATGCTGCTGGACTGGTGTCGAGCCAAGACTCGCGGCTACGAGGTGAGCCCCGGGAGGCCAGGGGGCCTGGAGGCCTCCCCAGACCCCAGCTCAACACCTCCTTCTTAGCAGAGCTCCTATTACCCAGTACACTTCCTGCCACTGTGTGGCCTCACAGGGAACATGGAAAGGCTCTTGGGGTGAGGAAACTGAGGCTCAAAGAGGACACAAGGCAAGCCCTAGATTCCAGAATCAGTGATGAAGTAACAGGGCCTCTTGGGTGGTGGGCAGGGTTCAAGGCCGGATCCCACTCTTGGAGTCCCCTCCTTGTTGCTCTGTAGGAGGCCCTGAGTCAATTTCTCTAAATGAGGGAAGGAGTGATGAGGCATGACCATAGCCTTAGCTGGGTGGCGCTGGGCCTCTCAGTAGCTCTGTCCCTTGAAATTGCAAATATGGGAGTTGACAGGCTGACTTGGAGGAGGCTCATGTTCCAACTATTCACTCATTGTGCAAGCTACGGGGCCTCTTTGTGCCCAGTGCCCTAGGTCTGGAATAACAGAATGCTGAGGGGTAGACAGCAGGGGGGAGTTGCCCCCAGGTTCCTGACCAGTCCTCCTACGGCTTATAGCACGTCGACATCCAGAACTTCTCCTCCAGCTGGAGTGATGGGATGGCCTTCTGTGCCCTGGTGCACAACTTCTTCCCTGAGGCCTTCGACTATGGGCAGCTTAGCCCTCAGAACCGACGCCAGAACTTCGAGGTGGCCTTCTCATCTGCGGAGTAAGTGTGGGCCCTGGCCCTGCTAATGTTGCTGCACATCTGGGGCTGGACATCGGGACCAGGCCCAGTTGCCCTGAGAACCCCTGGAGCGGGCCAGCCACATTGTCAGTCAGCGGCTGAGACCCCCTTCCCCAGAGAGTCCCCGTCCTTCTCCATCCCCACCCCCCCGCTGCTGAGCGTGCCAGGTGCCCGCCGGAACGAAGGAGCCGCAGGCCGGCCTACCAGCCCGGGCCAAAGCCCACCAGGTGGCCCTGTCCATATCCCCTCCATCCTCCCTCTGCCCCCTTCTCCCTCTCTCTCCCTTTCTCTGTCCTGCTCTCCTCCCACTATCACCAGAGCTTCCTGCTCCCACGGGATCCCGGCTGGAGATTCCAAAAGGAGGCTCCTGGCCCGGGCACCGTGCCCGCCCAGCCTATATAGTGCTGCCAGAGGCTTATATAGGACCTCAGCAAGCCCTCCACTTTGGAATCGTTGCCCCGTCTGCTCACCTCACCCTCAGCACCCTTCTCCATCTGTCTTCCCTTCTTTCCCCTTCTCTTTCTGGTTTCCCTCAAATTTCTTCCTCCTCCTCCTTCTCCTCTTCCTCCTCCCCCCACCTCCTCTCACGCCTCCCTCACCCCCTCTCCCCGGGGCACAGCCCTCCTCTCCAACCTTGGTGCCAACGCCATCGCCCCCACCCCGCGTTCCCGCTTGCCCCTAGAGTTCTCTGCACCTGTGACTGGTTTGGCCCCCACCCTTGTCTGCATTGCACACCATTAGTGATGGGTAGTGAGCGGCACGTCCACAGTGGGGAGGAGGCATGCGGGGGGCTGGCAGACTGCAGCACTGGAATCGTAATTGAACTCATGTCTCTGTGTGTGTGTGTGTATGTGTGTGTGTCTCTGTTTCCTCCCCTCTCTCTTCTCTGCCTCTTCCCTCTCTTCCCCACCCGGGGCCCTGGCCTCCTGCCCCCGTCCCCCACCCCTTCCCGGCCCCCTACCCTCCCCAGGACCCATGCGGACTGCCCGCAGCTCCTGGATACAGAGGACATGGTGCGGCTTCGAGAGCCTGACTGGAAGTGCGTGTACACGTACATCCAGGAATTCTACCGCTGTCTGGTCCAGAAGGGGCTGGTAAAAACCAAAAAGTCCTAACCCCTGCTCGGGGCCCCACGGTGAGAAACGCCGCCTCTACCACCTGCCCCGTTTCACCAGAATCTGCTCAGCAAGGCCAGAGAGGGTCCAGGGAGGCGGGTGGGGGAAGTAAGGGGGGCATTTAGTCAAGCCAGAGGAGCCAGACATAGCCCTGTCTTCTGGCAGTTCAGGGCCCAGCAGGTGAGACCATTCTAAATGGGCAGTGATGACCCAGGTGGGCAGCACTGTGATGGGGGAAGCCCAGGGGAGATGCCTGACCCAGGCTGCAGGTCTGGGCCCCCCATCTGAAAAAAGTGCAAACTAAGCTGGGATCTGAACAAGTTCAGGCTAAAGGAGGGAGAGGGAGTTCCAGGCAGAGGAATCAGCCTAGGCTTAGCAGGGCAAGAGAGCTGGAGAGCACAGCACATCAGGAAGGGAAGAAACTTGAGTCTGGATATGAGGGAGGAGGGGGCCACAGTTAGAAGTTTGACCTTCTGGCCGAGCACGGTGGCTCATGCCTGTAATCCCAGCACTTTGGGAGGCCAAGGTGGGCAGATCACGAGGTCATGAGTTCGAGACCAGCCTGACCAACATGGTGAAACCCCATCTCTACTAAAAATACAAAAATTAGCCAGGCGTGTGGCGCACACCTGTAATCCTAGCGACTCAGGAGGCTGAGGTAGGAGAATCACTTGAACCCAGGAGGCGAAGGTTGCAATGAGCTGAAATCATGCCACTGCACTCCAGCCTGGGTGACAGAGCGAGACTCCATCTCAAAAAAAAAAAAAAAAAAAAAAAAGTTTGACCTTCCTCCTGAGGACAACAGGAGTTATAAAGGGTTTCCAAACAGAGAAGGGATGGATATAGCATTCTAGGACCTTCCTCGGATGAGGCTTGGATGAGAGATGGGATGGACTAGATGACTGGAATAGCTTAAGAGCTAGAGAGACAGGCTTCCCAATAGATCTGGTTTGGAGAGGGAGAGGGAAGGTCAAGAAGTCTGCCAGGCTCCTGTGTGGGCACTGGGGAGTTGGTGGTGCCATACTCCAAAGTGGGGAGCTCAGGAGCAGGACCAGTTCAACAGGAAGATGTTTCTGGCTGGGGACTCTGGATCCTAAGCCAGCTGTGGCATTTCCTCTCTGGTCACCTCACCTCAGTACCAAAGTAAAGAATTCAGATCCTAAACTAACTACCCCATTACAGACAAGGAGCTCAGAGAGAGACGTGGGCTAAGACTGTCCTGGGGGTGGGAGGGAGAGGGAAGATGGTTAGGTCAGAGCTGGGGCCAGAAACTGAGACTCCAAACTCCCCACTTAGTGGCTGTTTTCCTTGCCCCATCACTGTGTTCCCGCCCATTTTGTAGAGAGGATTGAAAATAGAGGCCCAGAAGGAGCAAGGGGATTGGCTGAAGGAATGTGAGTCAGTGACAGGTAGGGGCACACTCAGATGCCCCTCAGGGCCTGGAGCCATTGTGGGGGGCAGTCCACATGTGCACACACACACTCAGAGAAGGAGCACAGATGAGTGGCGGATGGGCTTGGTGCTATCTCCAGATCATATATGGACTTAGGAGCTGCTGCCCAGCAAGCCAGCTTGGAGGGAGAGGGGCCCAGCCCAGCCCTGATCCAGTTGGAAAGTGTGACTCAGCCGTGCTGTTGCTCAAGTTGCCTGGTGTTTGGCCTGTCACTGGGGCAGCCTGAGCCCTGAGCCCTGAGCCCCAGTGTAAACAATGGCTTTATAAGGTCTCCAGGGAAGGGAGTGGGGCGGGAGGGAGCACCAGGTTGGAGAGGGCGGTCGGGATCCCCAGGACGATAGCCACAGCTGGAAGAAGCTTCAGAGAGAGGCTGCCTTTGCATCATGGTACAGCTCGGGAAACAAGCCCAGTCTGGGATAGGGATGACCCTAGGGGCACGTGGCACATCAGCAGCAGACCCAGAACCCTCTCACTCATCCTAAATTCTTGTAAGGTCTCAAATGAGATAGAGAATAACTGTCCTGTTCTAAAGAGGGGGAAACAGTCATAGAAAAGGGCCTTATCTAGCACCCACAACTGGTTAGGGATACAGTCTGGACTAAAACAGAGGTGTTCGGTGTTCTGCCTCCCAGGTTTCTTCTCTGAAGGAGTCCAGGTGAGCTGGGGGTAGGCCCAGCCCTACCACAGTTCTGAGTTTGTCCATAAGGGCACGAGATGGGAGGTGGTCTTGGGTTCTCAGGTGTCTTGAGAATAAGGAGCAATTGTTGCCATTATGCCTTCCCTGCCATAGGAAACTCATTCAGCAACATTGAATGCTTGCTATGTCCCAGGTATGGCAGATAGGAGGGATCAAGGCAGAAGAGGTCTTGCTCTGGGGGTTGAGGGACAGGGGAAAAGGAGCCAGAGAGCAGACTCCAGCTTCAGAGCTCTGGGAGCTGTCAGTTGCTTAATAGGCACAACCCACTCACTCCAGAGTGGGGAAAAGGCTTTGCCAACACCCAGAACTGGGGGCCTGGGTCCCATGCGGCCTAGCCTGCACTTACTAAGCCATGGGGCTTGAAACAAATGGCTCCTCTGCTCTGTGACTCAGTTTCCTTATCTGTGAAGGGCAGCTAGCATTCTGAAGGATGGCCAGAAGGGTGGTCCCCCCGAGCATGGCATAGATGGTCCATTGGTATTGGCTGGGATCCTCATCTGCCTCCTCTGCTCTACCCAAGGCAGGTGATAAGGGTTAGAGAACCCCTCTGCTGCCCACACGTTCCCTGGCCTCCATCTCCAGCAGCAGGGTTATCCCCACCCCCTGTCAAAGAATAGGGGTCCCTGGGCCTCTCAACAGGAAGTACCAGATCAGGCAGCTAGCAGACAATCATCGGTGGACCACAGGGCCACTAGAGTGAGACCTATCCATAGATAAAGATTGGCCAGTGATGAAGCCCATCTGGGTGCAAAGGCCGAGCTGAGAGGCTTCTACCAACTGGAGTGTGCCAGTGAGGGTGAGCAGAAGGTGGTCTCCAGGGAGAACATGGGCAGGGTTTGGAGCCAGCACCTCCCCAGGGTTGGAGGAAGCAGACCCAGGACCTGCCTGACTGGGATGGGGCTCTCTTCTGCCATCTCCGCCTCCACCTGCCTAGCTCTGCTCCCCCGCCCCGAGAGATGCCTCCAGGCTTGGGTAGATGAAGCCAGGGGCTTCCTGCCTTCCTGGAAGGCTTTTCCCTGTCTGGAGTTTATGAAAGACCAGCAGGCAATGCGGCAATAAAAAAGACCTTGGGGTAGAGGGGCGCCACGAGAGGCGGGTCTGGCGCTGACATCCAACCCCGTGCCCCCTCCCTGCAGGATGCTGGTGGACTGTGTGCCCCTGGTGGAGGTGGACGACATGATGATCATGGGCAAGAAGCCTGACCCCAAGTGTGTCTTCACCTATGTGCAGTCGCTCTACAACCACCTGCGACGCCACGAACTGCGCCTGCGCGGCAAGAATGTCTAGCCTGCCCGCCCGCATGGCCAGCCAGTGGCAAGCTGCCGCCCCCACTCTCCGGGCACCGTCTCCTGCCTGTGCGTCCGCCCACCGCTGCCCTGTCTGTTGCGACACCCTCCCCCCCACATACACACGCAGCGTTTTGATAAATTATTGGTTTTCAACGATCCTGACTCCTCTCTGCGTCTCCTGGGGGTGGGGAGGGGGTTTGAACCGAAGGCAGCTCCGCAAGGTCTCCAACTCCAGCAGGGATCCTCAGAGGTTCTTCTTCCGACCTCCCACCCCACCCGCCCGCAGCAACGAAGGAGTCGAGCCTCAGTTAAGGCAGGAGGGAATTTAGTGGAGCTGGGGAAGGAAGAAAGTGGGGTTGGGAGAACCTCCCCAACCCCATCCCTGCTGGCCCGGGGACGGGCATCGGCTCTCAGCAAGAGAAGTATTCCCGGGATGCTGAGCGCTTCATTCTGTCTCCAGGACTCAGGCAGGTAGGTCCCAGCTCCGCCGCGCCCCCGGACCTACAGGTCAGCGTGGTCCGAAGTTTCCTCTGGGGGCTTCGCGGGCGCCCACACGTACTCGGGGGGCACCTGCGCGTCGGGCGCCGCCTTGCGGTAGAAGCCGAGCTCCTGCACTAGCGCATTGATCTCTTCGCGGGTCATTTCACTGAGTGGGATGCGCTGAGGCGGAGGAGGGGCGGGGTCAGCAGGCTGGGCCTCGCCTCTGGCCTCGCCCCCAGCCCACCTCCCACGGCCTCACCTCTAGTTCCTCGTAGCGGCGGCCCAGCAGCACGAGCTCAGGGTCGGCCCCAGGGAGGTGTTTCATCACCAGGTTGTGACTGGAGGTGGTGTTAAGGAGCGGGGTGGTGGGCAGAGGGAGGTGGTGGTTTCCGCAGCCTTACTGATGGGAACAGCATTGCCTCCTTTGCTCAGAGCTTACTCTGTGCCCGGGAGGGGCCAGGGTCTCCGCTTATACGTGAGAAAATTAGGGTTCAAAGAAGTAAAGGGCCCTCCTCTCCATTCTGTGGCAGTCATCACTAGTCAATCTCTCTTGCCCACCCAACATGGAGACCACCTCAGAATCCTCTGGGAGCCACTACCAATCAATTCAACTTGTCAGTTGAAAACCATCTGCCACCCCTTTCTGAAGTTACGTGGAGATTCTCCCAGGTGCCCATCCCATTTCCCCTCCCCCAGAACAGAAGGATACTAGAATGGAATGTCCTGCGTGACGAAAGCCTTCACCTGGGGAGGAACCAGAGCATCAGAGACCATGACCTCAGTCTACTCGAGGTACAGACGAGACACTGAAGCCCAGTGAGGTCATAAAGCAAGTCAGGTGCAGGCTAGACTCTCAGCCTAGGCTAGACTCTCAGCCTAGGGATCCTTCCCCCCTCCCCGCCCCAGTCATTGGGACCATGTTGCCCACTCCCCAAGAGGCTCAGGGGGAACAGAGCTAGGGACCTCTTCCTTCAAACTCACCTCCTTTAGGCGGTTCAGCTGTCATCCCCCGCAGGTCTGGAGGGGGATAAAATGGGATAGGTCAGGAGTCCTTCACGTTTATTCCAGTCACATCCCCAAAGCCATACTTCCTTATCCCTGAGTTGGGTCGGGCTGTGAGTTATCCCCGGATCAGCAGTTCCCAAGGTCTGAAGGAAATGCTGGACCCTTGTGGGCAGAAGGG
Source organism: Homo sapiens (assembly GCF_000001405.40). Taxonomy (NCBI): domain Eukaryota; kingdom Metazoa; phylum Chordata; class Mammalia; order Primates; family Hominidae; genus Homo; species Homo sapiens. The sequence continues at coordinate 31,106,132 of NC_000022.11, forward strand.
GGAACTGTGTATACAGGTGGGGAGACTCAGGCCTAGAGACACCAGGGGAAAAGAGCAAGGCCAGAGACCCACAGTGTGCCTGCCAGCCTTGGGGCCTGTACATCCTACTGGCTGTGGACTGACTCCCAATGCCCAGGGGAAATGATCACCCTGCTCCTCTTAAGCAGTAGAGACCTGGGCTTGGCCTTTGATCCCTGAAATCTCACAGTGGAGGCAGAGCAGAAGGAAACACCTCAGAATGGCCCTGGGGGCCCCCATTGGAGACACCTACCATCTGGTCCCTACTCTACACAGGCAGACCTCACCCTGCCTGCCACCTGCGGCCCAGCCCCACAGACCATGTGGTTGCTTCCCTGACATGGGAGGATGGGAGGGCTCCTCCCTGCCTTCCCTGAGGAGATGCCACCATCCAGCAGGAGTCTAGACCCCAGGACCACCCACTCCAGCCCTCCTCCATCCTACCCTCAGCCCTTTTCTTAGAGACAGGGTCTCACTATGTCCCCCAAGCTGGTCTTGAACTCCTGGGCTCAAGCAATCCTCCTGCCTTGGCCTCCCAAAGTGCTGGGATTACAGGCGTGCACCACCGGCACCCAACCATTCTACACCCTTTTGTCAGACAGAGCTGACAAAAAGCTCAGAGGCGGGCTGTGATGGTCAAAGTCACATAGCAAGACAGGGACTCCGAACGGGAATTTCCTGGTTGGGGGAGGATGGGAGGCTGCTGCAGAGTAAATGTTGGCAACCAAGTTCCCAACTCGGTTGCCCCTCCGAGTTGGCCCCCTTCCCCGGATCCTGCATATGGGAGGAGGCACCCAGAAAGTCTTCTTTCCCCCCAGGAGAAGGAAAAGAGACTTTCTGGAGCCTCCAGCCCTGGAACCGGGTCGGGGGGGAATTCCAGGAAAACATGAAGTGATGGGGGATGGGAAGTTGGGACAGGATTGGGAGTCATAGGCCACGAGAAGAGTTAGGAGACTGCGTCAGTGTGTCTGGGTGTCCGCTGTCGGACCGGGTAGGGGGAGCTGGGGAAGGGTTCGGAGTTCCAGGCCCCAAAGTCGGTGTCTCAGGCTTCCACGGTGGATGCTGGGGCCATCTGGGGCTAGGGAACAGGAGGGATGGTCCCGGCGCCAGGGGGAAAGCAGGGAGACTCGCGGTTCGAGGTGGTCTTGGGGCCGGGACGGACGGTGCTCCCATGGGGCCGCAGGGTTGGGGAACGATAGTGCCGGGGCTGGAGGCCGGCGTACTCACCTCTACCCGGGCGCGGGTTAGGCCGCTCAGACGGTTCCAGTCCGGCCGGTAGGCAGTGGCGGCTGTGGCTGGGGCCACAAGCGCCGCGAGAAGCAGCAGCAGCGCCAGCGGAGGCAACAGGAGGCTCATCGGGACCCGGCCGCAGATGATGCGCAAGCTGGAGGCGAACCTCCGAGTCGCTGCGCCACGTCTGGGCCCCCAGGCTGGCCCCGCCCCCGCCCCCGCCCCCACTCCCGCTAGAGGCCCAGTCCCGCTGGAGACCACGCCCCCAGCGCTCGGTCTCCGCCCCAGGACTCCCCGCCGTTACCTCCCGCTAGCTCAGGGCGAGGTCCTGGCTCCTCCCTGGCGTTTGGGCCGTCACTTTCCCAGGTCCGAGAGTGTCGACGCTCCTTTTGTCGACCGAGGATGTGGACGCTCCCCCAGGATGCGGCCAGGCAGCGCCACCTCACGCCGGCAGAGGGTGCCGGCGAGACGCTGAGGGACACTGGAGTTTCTGAGCCGAACCTGCGACTTTAAGATAGGGAAACTGGTAGGACATCCAAGAAAAAAAAAGGAAAGAAAGAAAGAAGAATAAATAAGGGAAACTGGCTTTCTGAGGACTCCTCGCTTTGGAGCGTGGGAGATGAGGAGTGAGGTTCGGTGGAGGGGGTGCGGCTTCTGGGAGCCACTGAGACCTACCAGCGTGTCTTCTTACCATCCACAGCTACTGCTGAGCAGACTTTCTGACCTGGGGTGAGGAAAGGAATTTGCTATTCAAAGGTGGGAAAATGCAAGGAGGGTTACAGCTGATAGGCCACAACAGGGTCTTAAATCAGCTGGGTTAAATTTATGGAGTCAGGATTTACTTTTTTTTTTAATGTGGCTATCCAATTCAATTAAAAATCTTGTCTTTTTCATTGCTACTCTGCCGCGTTACCTCTGTTATATATAAATAGGCAACCACGGCCGGGCGTGGTGGCTCACACCTGTAATCCCAGCACTTTGGGAGGCCGAGGTGGGTAGATCACTTGAGGTCAGAAGTTCGAGGCCAGCCTGGCCAACATGGTGAAACCCCATCGCTACTAAAAATACAAAAATTAGCTGGGCGTGGTGTGGGCGCCTGTAATCCTAGCTACTTGGGAGGCTGAGGCAGGAGAATCACTTCAACCTGGGAGGCAGAGTTTGCAATGAGCCGACATCCTACCACTGCACTCCAGCCTGGGCGACAGAGACTGTCTCAAAAATAAATAAATAAATAAATAGGTAACCATATAAATATATGGGAGTCTACTTCTGAATATCATACCCTATTCTAGTCCTTCAGTGGGTTTGTCTAACTACGCTGTCTTATTAACTATAGCTTTATAGTCAGACTTGACATCTGGTTGTGTGTTGGTCCTCTAGCTTTGTTCTTTCTTTCTTTCTTTTTTTTTTTGAGACGGAGTCTCGCTCTGTTGCCCAGGCTGGAGTTCAGTGGCCTGATCTCGGCTCACTGCAACCTCCGCCTCCCGGGTTCAAGCAATTCTCCTGCCTCAGCCTCCCGAGTAGCTGGGACTACAGGCACGCGCCACCACGCCCAGCTAATTTTTTTGTATTTTTAGTAGAGATGGGGTTTCACTGTGTTAGCCAGGATGTTCTTGATCTCCTGATCTCATGATCCGCCCGTCTCAGCCTCCCAAAGTGCTGGGATAACAGGTGTGAGCCACTGCGCCTGGCCCATTTTTTTTTGTTTTTTTGTTTGTTTGTTTTTTTGAGACAGAGTCTTGCTCTGTCAGCCAGGCTGGAGTGCAGTGGCACGATCTCAGCTCACTGCAACCTCCACCTCCCAGGTTCAAGCGATTCTTCTGCCTCAGCCTCCCAAGTAGCTGGGATTACAGGTGCCCACCACCACGCCCAGCTAATTTTGTATTTTTAGTAAATATGGGGGTTTCATCATCTTGGCCAGGCTGGTCTCGAACTCCTAACCTCAAGTCATCCACCCGCCTTGGCCTCCCAAAGTCCTGGGATTACAGGTGTGAGCTGCTGGGCTGGCTATTTTTTTTTTTTTTTTGAGACAGAGTCTTGCTCTGTTGCCCAGGCTGGAGTGCAGTGGCTCAATCACAGCCTGAACCTCCCAGGCTCAAGCAATCCTCCCACCTCAGCCTCCTGAGTAGCTGGGACTACAGGCATGCACCATCATGCCCAGCTGATTTTTTTTTTTTTTTTTTGAGACGGAGTTTCACTCTCATTGTCCAGGCTGGACACTCTCATGTCCAGTGGCATGATCCGGACTCACTGCAACCTCTGCCTCCCAGGTTCAAGCGATTCTCTTGCCTCAGCCTCCTAAGTAGCTGGGATTACAGGCGTCGGCCACCACACCCGGCTAATTTTTTGTCTTTTTAGTAGAGACGAGGTTTCACCATGTTGACCAAGCTGGTCGCAAACTCCTGGGCTCAAGTGATCCTCCTGCCTTGGCCTCCCAAAGTACTGGGATTACAGGCATGAGCGACCATGCCTGGCCTGTGGCCTACATTTTCCTGTGGTGAGGGCCATGTGTGATCCCACAGCCTCAGTAAGCCATCGCAGTCTAGCTTTGTTCTTCTTGAAGGTTGTCTTGACTATACTTGGCCTTTCACACTTCCAGGTACAATTTAGGGCCAGCTCGTCAACCTCCACAGAAAAACCTTCCAAATTTCTATCAGGATTTCAGATTCCCACTGGGGAAATCAATGTGGGGAGACTCTACAGCTTTACATTATTGTGACTTTTCTTCCACGAACATAGTAAGTCCCTCCATTTCTATAGGTCTTCTTTAATTTCCTTCAATAATATTTTGTGGTTTTTAGAATAAATATCTTGCATATCTTTCATTAGATTTACTCCTAGGTATTTAATTTTTTATAGCATTACAAACTCTATTGTTTTTACATATTCATTTTCAAGTTGCTTGGTAGTAGCATATAGGAAGACAATTGATTTTTGTATATTAACCTTGCAGCCAGTGACCTTACTGAATTTTCTTACTCTAATAGTTTAACTGGATATTTTTTTTTATTTTCTACATATGCATATTATATCATCTGGAAATAAAAGTGGTTTTCTTCCTTTCTGGTCCTTATACCTTGGTTTTGTTTCGTTGCACTGTCTTAATTTTACGGTCTGGGGCCTCTGGTACAATGTTGACTGGAACTGATAATTGTCTTTTTCCAGATATCATCTTTAAACGATCATGTTTGCTGTAGGTTTGTTACTGGTGCCTTTTGTAAAAGAAAGTTTTCTATTTCTATTTTTCTTAGAGCTTTTATCATGAATGGATGTTGAACTTTGTCAAATGTTTTCCTGCATCTATTGAGATGATCATGTGGTTTTTCTCCTTTATTTTATTAAATGTGGTAAAATATGTGAACTGATTTTCATATGTTAAACCTTGCATTCCTGTAATAAACCAATTTGGTTGTAGAAAAAAAGAGATAGGAAAACCGAACCCTAGGGAATCCCTGTTTGCGCTGTTTGTTTATTCAGTAGATTACGGGGTCTTGCTGCTGACCAGGCTGGTCTCAAACTCCTGGTCTCAAGTGATCCTCCTGCCTCAGCCTCCCAAAGTGCTAGAATTACAGGTGTGAGCCACTCCACCTGGCCTTTTTATTTCTTTGGACAAAAATTCCAATCAAGGTTTTTACTTCCCAGAGCACACATTGTGGTGATGCAATATTGTGTACCCTGTTGGGATTGGCAGGATAAAGGGGTTAACACATATAAAGCTCATTAGAACAGTACCTAATACAGGACGGGCATGGTGGCTCATGCCTGTAATCCCAGCACTTTGGGAGGCCAAGGTGGGTGGATCACCTGAGGTCAGGAGTTCGAGACCAGCCTGACCAACATGGTGAAACCCCCCACCTCTACTAAAAATACAAAACTTAGCCAGGCATGATTCTCATGTCTGTAATCCCAGCTACTCGGGAGGCTGAAGCAGGAAAATTTGCTTGAACCCGGAGGCGGAGGTTGCAGTGAACCAAGATGGCGCCACTGCACTCCAGCCTGGGGAACAAGAGCAAAATTCTGTCTCAAAAAAAAAAAAAAAAATTTAGCTGGGCACATAGTGGCGGGCACCTGTAGTCCCAGTTACTCCAGAGGCTGAGGCAGGAGAATCGCTTCAACCCGGGAGGTGGAGGTTGCAGTGAGCCGAGATCGCACCACTGCACTCCGGCCTGGGCGACACAGTGAGACTGTCTCAAAAAAAAAAAAAAAAAAAAAAGACTGAGGCGGGCAGATCACGAAGTCAAGAGATCAAGACCATCCTGGCCAACATGGTGAAACCCCGTCTCTACTAAAAATACAAAAAAATTACCCAGGTGTGGTGGTGCATGCCTGTAATCCTAGCTACTCGGGAGGCTGACGCAGGAGAATCACTTGAACCTGGGAGGCGGAGGTTGCAGTGACCCGAGATCGCGCCACTGCACTCCAGCCAGGCGACAGAATGAGACTCTGACTCAAAAAAAAAAAAAAAAAAAAGTACCTACTAGGACAGTGTTAGCTTTCATTATCAGTTCCTTCCTTACCTCATAAAGACCCCGTGAACTCCATTTTGCAGGTTAGGAAACAGGCTCAGAAAGGTGAAATGAGTGAACTGTGGATTTGGGACTTGAACCCAACATGTCTCTGCACTCATCTTGAGAGTCCGGAGTTTCTTCCTTCCAGTGGGTTGGTGGTCTCACTGACTTCAAGAATGAAGCCGCGGACCTTCACTGTGAGTGTTACAGCTCTTAAGGATGGTGTGTCCAGAGTTTGTTCCTTCAAATGTGTCTGGAGTTTCTTCCTTCCAGTGGGTTAGTGGTCTCACTGACTTCAAGAATGAAGCCACGGACTTTCACGGTGAGTGATACAACTCTCTTTTTTCTATTTTTCTTTTCTTTCTTTCTTTTTTTTTTTTTTTTTTTTTGAGACGGAGTCTCGCTCTGTCGCCCCCAGGTTGAAGTGCAGTGGCACAATCTCAGGTCACTGCAAGCTCTGCCTCCTGGGTTCACGCCATTCTCTTGCCTCAGCCTCCCGAGTAACTGGGACTACAGATGCCCACCACCATGCCCAACTAATTTTTTGTATTTTTAGTAGAGATGGGGTTTCACCGTGTTAGCCAGGGTGGTCTTGATCTCCTGACCTCGTAATCCGCCCACCTTGGCCTCCCAAGGTGCTGGGATTACAGGCTGTTGCAGCTCTTAAAGGTGGTGAGGACCCAAAGAGTGAGCAGCAGCAAGATTTATTGGGAAGAGCGAAAGGACAAAGCTTCCACAGCACCGAAGGGCACCCAAGCAGGTTGCCGGCTGCTGGCTGGGGATGAAGGGTGGCAGTGGCGGCCAGCTTTTAGTCCCTTATTTGTCCCCGCCCACATCCTGCTGATTGGTCCATTTTACAGAGTGCTGATTGGTCCATTTTACAGAGTGCTGATTGGTGCATTTACAATCCTCTATCTAGACACAGAGCACTGATTGGTGCATTTTTACAGAGTGCTGATTGGTGCATTTACAATTCTTCAGCTAGACACAGAGCGCTGATTGGTGCATTTATAATCCTCTGGCTAGACAGAAAATTTCTCCAAGTCCCCACTCCACCCAGGAAGTCCAGCTGGCTTCACCTCTCAATCTCATACATAAGCAGATAGCTCTTTCTGCCATGTGCTGCCATAATGGTGTGCATGAATGTCCCGGCTGATGCTCTCAAGAGCATCAACAATGCCAAAAGAGAGGCAAACACCAGGTTCTTATAATGTCGTCGTCTGGTTTCTAACTGTGGTGATGAAGCATAGTTACACTGGTGAAGTTGAAGTCATTGATGATCACAGAGCTAGGAAAACTGCTGTGAACCTCACAGGCAGGTTAAACAAGTGTGGAGTAATCAGCCCCTGATTTGATGTGCAACTCAAAAATCTAGAAAAATGGCAGAATAATCTGCTCCCATCCTGCCAGTTGGGTTTCATTGTACTCACAACCTCAGCTGGCATCATGGATCACAAAGAAGCAAGACGAAAACACACAGGAGGTAAAATCCTGGAATTCTTTTTCTAAGGAGGTAATATGCATTTGCAGATAAAATGCCTACAATTAAAAAAAAAAAAAAAAAGGAGAACGGATCACCAGATCACCAGATTAGGATGCCAGTTCTCTTCTTCATGCTTTCTTCCACAGACACAGCAAGTTCGTCACTGTCCTCTTTTCCCATTGAATCTAGGGACTCCTTCTCAATACCGAGCCAAGGCTGCATTATGACTTTCATGGATCCTAGGGTTTTCTTTCTTTTTTCTTTTTTTAATTTTTATTTTTATTTTGAGACGGAGTCTTGCTCTGTCGCCCAGGCTGGAGTGCAGTGGCACAATCTTGGCTCACTGCAATCTCCACCTCCTAGGTTCAATCGATTCTCGTGTCTCAGCCTCCTGTGTAGCTGGGATTACAGGAGCGTGCCATCATGCCCGGATAATTTTTTTTATTTTTAGTAGAGACAGGATTTCACCATGTTAGGCTGGTCTCAACCTCAAGTGATCCGCCCGCCTCCGCCTCCCAAAATGCTGGGGTTACAGGCATGAGCCACTGTGCCTGGCCTCTTTTTTCTTTTTTTTTTTAGAGACAGGGTCTTTCTGTGTTGTCCCAGCTAGTGTTCAACTCCTGGCCTCAAACAATGCTCCTGCCTTAGCCTCCTGAGTAGCTGGGATATGGACACATGCCTCCATTAAATATACATAATATACATAAATATTATATATATTTGATTTTCAATTGCTTTGGTAAAAAGATAACTATAATCTAGGCTGGATTCATTATTATTAGTATATGTTTCCTTTTTTTTTTAACCTTAACTTCCCAGTGTATCCTTCTAATTTTAAAGAATATTAAAAACATTTTCGACCAGGCGCGGTGGCTCACGCCTGTAATCCCAGCACTTTGGGAGACCGAGGCGGGCGGATGACAAGGTCAGGAGATTGAGACCATCCTGGCTAACACAGTGAAACCCCCCCGTCTCTACTAAAAATACGAAAAATTAGCCAGGCGTGGTGGCGGGCACCTGTAGTCCCAGCTACTCGGGAGGCTGAGGCAGGAGAATGGCGTGAACCCGGGAGGCGGAGCTTGCAGTGAGCCGAGATCACGCCACTGCACTCCATCCAGCATGGGTGACAGAGCGAGACTCCGTCTCAAAAAAAAAAAAAAACACTTTCATGGACCCCCTAAAAGTATAGTGGGCCCTAAACACTGAGCCTACTGTGCCTTCTAGAGAAGTTAAGTCTGCACTGAGTCTTTTGTTTGCACCCTGCTAACTTCCCCTTTACTAACTTGATTGTAAAGATATAAAAATAATAGGCTTGGCCGGGCATGGTGGCTCATACCAATAATCCCAGCACTTTGGGAGGCTGAGGCAGGGAGATCACTTGAGTCAGAAGTTCGAGGCCACCTGGCCAACATGGTGAAACCTCGTCTCTACTAAAAATACAAAAATTAGCCAGGCATGGTGGTGCATGCCTATAATCCCAGCTACTTGGGAGGCTGAAGCAGGAGAATCACTTGAACCCGGGAGGCAGAGGCTGCAGTGAGCCAAGATTGTGCCACTGCACTCCAGCCTGGGTGATAGAGCAAGACTCCGTCTCAAAAAAAAAAAAAAAAAAAAAAAAAAAAAAAAAAATATATATATATATATATATATATATATATATATATATATATATATATAATATGAGTATGTAGTCAATATGATTAGTCTTGTCCAGACTATTCACACAGTAAGCTATCTCTAACACTCTGTTCACTGCTGGGGAAGTATGAATTCACCCTGGCTTTCTGAAGGGCAAAATCAAAACTCTAAAAACTTTTTTTGACCCAGTAATTCCATTTTTCAGAATTAGCCCCAAAGTAATCATCAGAGAGAGGATTGTTAGGTCAAGCTTGTTTATTAGAATACCATTTATCGTGGTGAAGAACTGGGGATATAACCTAAGCATGTCACAGCAGGGGATGAGTTAAATTAATGAGTGTACCTCCATAGGATGGAAAACCATGCAATTGTTAAAAATGATGCAGCAGGCTGGGCGTGGGTGGCTCACGCCTGTAATCCCGGCACTTTGGGAGGCCGAGGTGGGCGGATCACCTGAGGTCAGGAGTTTGAGAGCAGCCTGGCCAATATGGTGAAGCCCCATCTCTACTAAAAATATAAAAATTAGCTGGGCATGGTGATGGCTGCCTGTAATCTCAGCTACTTGGGAGGCTAAGGCAAGAGAATTGCCTGAACCCAGGAGGCAGAGGTTGCAGTGAGCTGAGATCGCACCACTGCACTCCAGCCTGGGCGAGTGAGACTCTATCTCAAAAAAAAAAAAAAAGATGCAGCATAGATGGAATGACATGGAGAATGTTCGTGGTTATGGTATTAAATAGCAAGAAAAAAGCAACAAAAACAGTAATCTGGTAATATCAATTGGGAGTTGTGATGCTGTGGGCTGCAAGTCATAGAAACCCCAATTTAAACTGGCTTAAACAATAAAGGGAGCTGGTTGTGGTGGCTTGTGTCTATAAACCCAGCTACTCAGGAGGCTGAGGCAGGAGGATAACTTGAGGCCAAGAGTTCCAAACTATCCTGGACAACATAGTGAGAACCCATCTCTAAAAAAAGATATTTAAAATCTAGCCAGGCATGGCAGTGCCTGTAGTCCCAGCTACCCCAGAGGCTGAGGTGGGAGGACTGCTTGAGCCCAGGAGTTCAAGACTACAGTGAGCTATGATCATGCCACTGCACTCTAACCTGGGAGACAGAGTGAGACCCCATCTCCTATAAAAAATAAAAAATAATACAGTGAGCCAAGATCGTACCACTGCACTCTAGCCTGGGCAATGTGAGTAAGACCCTGTGTCAAAAAATAATAAAAATAAAGGGGCTGGGCCCAGTGGCTCATGCCTGTAATCCCAGCACTTTGGGAGGCCGAGATAGGCAGATCACTTGAGGTCAGGAGATGGAGACCAGCCTGGCCATCATGGTGAAACCCCCTCTCTACTAAAAACACAAAAACTAGCTGGGCATGATGGTGCACACCTGTAATCCCAACTACTTAGGAGGCTGAGGAAGAGAATTGCTTGAGCCCGGGAGGTGGAAGTTTCAGTGAGCCAAGATTGCGCCACTGCACTCCAGCCTGGGTGCCAGAGCGACACTCAGTCTCTAAATAAATAAATAAATAAAGGGACTCTGTTGGCTCAAATAATTTTAAAAGTCCAGGACAGGCACAGTGGCTGACGCCTGTAATCCCAGCAATTTGGGAGGCTGAGGCGGGCAGATCACCTAAGGTCAGGAGTTTGAAACCAGCCTGGCCAACATGGCGAAACCCCGTCTCTACTAAAAATACAAAAATTAGCCAAACGCAGCGGTGGGCACCTGTAACTCCAGCTACTCGGGAGGCTGAGGCAGGAGAATCGCTTGAACCTGGGTGGCGGAGGTTGCAGTGAGCCAAGATCGTGCCACTGTACTCCAGCCTGGGCGACAGATTGAGACTCCATTTCAAAAAGAAGAAAAAAAAAGTCCAATGGCAGGTGGGGCTTCAGGTGAAGTTTGATCCAGTTAATGAAGTCACCAAAGCCTGGTGTCTCTCCATTCTGCTTTCCATAATGTCAGTTTATCAGTAGGCCAATTTTCTACATGGTGTAAAGATGGCTGCCAGCAGTAACTAGAGCCATTGGCCTCTTCATTTACATCTAATGGAAGGAAGATCATCTTTTTTGGCAGCCTCCTCAGGAGAGAAAATAAGCTTCCTTTCCCAAAAGCCCTGAGCAAAAATTTCCTTGTATCTTGCTAGTTCATTCGTGATCTAATCATGTGCCTGGGGAAATGGGAATTGCTTACTGGCTTAACCAACTGGGACCCATTCCTGAAGCTGAGGGTGGGGTCCACCATATTCCAGTTCCTGTTAAGAAGGAGATGGGCTGCAACCTTAACAGGATCCTAACCCTAACCCTAACCCTACTGTGTTGCTGGACATTGTGGCAGCAACACAGTAACCAACCAATTCTATAAAACATGTATAGGCCCAGTCTTGGTGGCTCACGCCTGTAATCCCAGCACTTGGGAGGCCAAGGCATGTGGATCACTTGAGTCCAGGAGTTCAAGACCAGCCTGGTCAACAAGGCAAAACCCTGTCTCTACTAAAAATACAAAATTAGCTGGGCATGGTGGTGCATGTCTGTAATCCCAGCTACTCGGGAGGCTGAGGCAGGAGAATTGCTTGGACCAGAGGTGGAGGTTTCAGTGAGCTGAGATCATGCCACTGCACTCCAGCCTGGACGACAGAGTGAGACTCCATCTCAAAAAATAGATATAGCTATATAAAATATATAACACGTATATGTAAATATACATGTATATAAATATATATGCATATTATATACAACATGTATATAAATATATATGCATATTATATACAACATGTATATATAAATATATATGCCTAGACCCCCGCCCCCACCAAAAAATATCTATAAGGAAACAAACCAATAAGTCAGAACGATTATTTCTTGGTGGATGAAATTATAGGTAAATGTTTTCCTTCTGTGTTTTGTGTAATGGGCATGGATTACCTAAACACAAACAGTAAACTTTATTTACGAAAATAATGGGACATACCCCACTATTTCCTTCTACTCCAACCCCTACCCCAGCAAGGGCCTCAGAGTAACTGAAGCCAGAGGCCCCACGGAGTCGTTCTTGCTGCTGACAGAGCCAAACCCCAGTACCCCATGGGCCCTGGTTGTTTGCTGGACAGATGCCACCAAACCACTCTCATTGCATTAGCCTGGATGCTGTGGCCCCTAAAGGCCACAGCTTGGGCTGCTGAGGGTTGACCAACCAGCCAGTGGAACCAGTGGTGGAGACTGTGACCATAACAGTACCAGGAAGGAACACTGTGGCATCAGCAGCATGAGAAGCCCAAGATCTCCCAAGACAGATCTCTGCCCATAATCCATGCCTCTTATGTGGCAGCATGTAATTTAGGCCAGCAGTCTTCCTCAAGTGGGGCCAAGGTTGGGGATTAGTCTGTGATGGGGTCAGGCTCAGACAGGGTCTAGGTCAGCCCTTAGTTGAGTAGTCTGTAGCCTAGGGCTAGATACAGGGCTCAGTCCATGATTGGGCTTAGTCTTTAGTCTGTGACCAGGAGCCAGGCTCAGTCTGTGACCAGGGTCATGTCTCTGTCAATGACTAAGTTCAGGGCTCAGTCTGTGACCAGATTCAGGGCACAGTCTTCCGTTTAGGGCTCAGTGTGTGACCAGAATTGCATGATCCAGGGTCAGAATTCAGTCTGTGGTCAGAGTTCAGTCAATGATTAGGCTCAGGACTCAGTCTTTGACCAAGATTAGGGCTCAGTCTTCTGCCAGAGTCAGGGTTAAAAGGTTAGTCTGACTCTTCTGCCAGAGTCAGTCTAAAAGGTTAGTCTGGGCTGGGGCTAGAATTCAGTCTGTGACTAAGGCTCAGTCTTAGAGAAGGATAAGGGCTTGATCTGGGCCCAGAACTAAGGTCTCAAGTTGGGATCAGCCTAATTCAGGCTTAGATCAGTATGTGACTAGAGTCAGGGTTCATTCTAAGGTGATGTCAGAGCTCAGTCAAGAGCTGGAGTAGAGGCTTAGTCAATACCAAGAGTCGGGTTCAAGTTGGAGGATCAGGACCATGACCAGGGCTTAATCTGGCTCTATGCTCTGTTCTGAGCTCCAATAAAGAAGCTTCTGGAGGCATAGGAGCCCAGAGCAAGTCAGTCTGCAAGAAATGAGAGCCCCCAGGCAAGCTTAGCAGGGTCTGGTGGCTGCAGGAAGTTTCCCCTGGACTGCTGAGGCCGGGTGTCCTAGAGCCTCTAACCTACATGGCTCTGCTGCTTGAGATCCCCTCGCACCAGAATAAAAATAGCCACTCACTTCAGAGCAGCTGACAGCGGGTGCTGGGCTGCCTAGGAGGAGGGGGAGCCGAAGAGAAGGAGGAGAGAGGCCTGAGCTCAGCCCCAGCTGTGTGACCTTGGGAAAGTCACTCCTCCTCCTCCAGCCCATTTCCTGAGTGGCAGAATGGGGAGTGAGGATGACATCTGCCTCAGAGGGTGAGAATGAAGTGCTGGGGACATAACATGTGAAGCTTGTTACCAACAAGAAACCCTGGAGTGAAGCCTTGGGAGAAGAAATGCTCTTTTGTGCCCTGTATACTTCCTCCTCAGGGAAGCCCTCCCAGATAACCCCTTCTTTCACATTCCCACAATATCCTGTATCACCCTCTACACCTTTGCAGATGGTAGCCATAGCATGACCTCCCTCATGGCGGGCCTGGGTCAGGGTGACCAGGGAGAGAAAGGAAGGAGGACAGACCCTCGGTACCGTTGCCATCCTCAGGTGCCCCTGGAAAGTGAACCGAGGAAGAGGAGGAGGAAAAAGACAGGAAAGACTTCTCTCCCTTCCCTGCTCATGTTTACTCCGAACCAAAGGGCAGGAGGGTACATGTCCAAATTTCTCATCCTTTCACAGCCAGAACCTTCCTTCCCCATCCATGCTTTGTACCTGCTGTTCTCTCTGCTTTCCAGCCAGGGCGTTTCTCTTCTTCGATTTGGCAGCACGGACTCTCCTTCAAAGAAGGGGTTCAACAGTCAGCTCCTCTGTCGGGAAGAATTATCCACTGCCTCTCCAGGAGCTCCATGCTCTGTCCTCTCTCTACTGGCTGTGTAATCCCTGGGCCTCGGTTTCTTCCTCTGTCCAATGGGGGCCTCATTACCAACCTCACAGGGTTACTATGGAGAGTAACTGGGATACTCCATCTATCACTGGCATCCTGCCTTCCTATCCCTGACCCACACAGCCTGAAGGACAGCACTGAGTTTCCAGGAGTGGGCTGGATGAGCCCTGGACCCTGCCTCAGTACGCCCACCCCCCTCCCCCACCAAGAGTGAGGGCAAGGAGGGAGCCAGAAAGGGCCTCCAGAGACAGCCGTCTCCAGGGGGGCGGTTCTCCCTGACAGCTGCCCCCAGCCTGCCGCCCTGAGCCCCAGAGCCTGTTATCAACCTCCTTAGTCATCACACCAGGAGCTCAAATATAGCTCCAACTCACTCCCTTTTCAGCTGGGGTCCGCCCCCTACCCCCTTCTCCTGACAAGACCAGGCTTGGGTCTCAGAGCCCCTTCCTTGTCCTCCCAGGAGAGTAACCACCCTCAGCCTGTTTCAGCATCCACCACATGGGCAGGCTGAAGTCAATGGTGGTGATGATGATGATGATAAATACAGAGCAGCCACCTTTATGGAGAGCTTGCTGTGCCAGGCAGGCTCTATGCTAAACATTTCATATATATTATCCTGTTGAATCTTCACCAGCAAACTTAGGAGGTGTCTGCTGTTTTAATCTCCCTTACACAAATTGGGAATCAGAGTGACCTCCTCAAGTAAGTCAGTGGCAGGGCCAGAAACAAAGTCCCCTGCAGGGTCTGAGCTCAGGGAGCGGGTGGTGGGAAATCCTGGGTTGCCCTCCTGAGGCAGAGGAGCCCTCTGCAGACACATTTGCATGACATTTGCCTGGCTTCCAAAGGGCACTGATGCCCCTGTCCCAGCCCTAGATGGCTGAGCCTTAGGACTGGTCCCAGAGGCCTGGATCTGCCCATCATTCCCTCTAGGATTGCATGAAAAGCTGGGTAGTCTTGGGGGCTCCCATTTTCTTTTTCTTTTTTCTTTTCTTTCTTTCTTTTTTTTTTTTTTTTTGAGACAGGGCCTCTCTCTGTCACCCAGGCTGGAGTGCAGTGGTACGATCTTGGCTCATTGCAACCTCCACCTCCACCTCCCAGGTTCAAACAATTCTCCTGTCTCAGCCTCCCAAGTCGCTGAGACTACAGGCATGTACCACCACACCCGGCTCATTTTTATATTTTTAGTGGAGATGGGGTTTCGCCATGTTGACCAGGCTGGTCTCGAACTCCTGACCTCAGGTGATCTGCCCACCTCAGCCTCCCAAAGTGCTGGGATTACCCGCACTTTGCCAGTACTCCCCCAGCCCGGGGGCTCCCATTTTCTTATTTGTAAAACAGGAGACAGAGGATAAGACAGGATGAGTTCGAATCTTCCTTTTTCTGGTAACCTGAGCATCACCACCAGGTCTACTCTCACATCCTCCCTGACTGTCACCTCCAACTCCAACACTACCTCTTTCATTGACACAACACCATCATCAGTATTGGTATCATCATCACCTCTACCTTTGCCATCACCATCACCTCCACCACCTTCACCACAACCACTGCTAGCCCCCTACTTCCATCATCACAGTTACATACATCATCACATCCATCACCACAGTCGCCTTCCCCGTCACCACTGTCACCATCTCCACTATCGCTGTCCAAAGACCTTTCTACCCCAACACTCTAATATGGCCTGAGTCTCTGCCCCTGCAAATTCCAGCAGAGATGCTGGCCTGAGAATACAGACTAGACCTACTGACAGTCAAGCAGAGGTAGGAAGTGCCTTCAGGAGAGGAAAGTGAGGCATCTGCCTTCATGTAGGAGACTGCACAGGCCCATGCAGATGCTCCATGTTGGTTAACAGGGAGCTCTGCACACACAACTCTGAACACTTTCTGCCTAAAGTGGGTGGGATCACTCCTCTCTAAGCCATGAGAAACAGATCCCACAGCCATCCCAGCCCAATCTGACCCTCATCACCCATTCACTCTTCTAATTCATTTATTCATTCAACAAACACTCCCGTAGGCCTGTTGGGGACCATGTCCTGGGCTGGGTCCTGGCTGTAGCAATTCTCAGGCCTGTTTGTAACTCTCTTGTCAGTCTGTTACCCCACTGCTGGGCCCTTCTCCACCCAAGTTCCCTTCCCCCAGATAGCTCGAAGGGCTTGTGCTCATCCTAGGTCACTAAGTTTTCTCACTGAAACACAGGAGACCTTCTCAGTTCACCAGGTGACCTTGAGCAAGTTCCCCTCCCAAACCACACCCAGTGAATACTGGAGAGAAGAAAGCTGACAGAAGCCGGGCTGGGTTAGGCCTGGCTGTGGGGACATCTGAGGGCAGCTAGGTGTCTGCAGAAGAGGAGGGGCTGGTGCTGAGGCCTGAGATGGGAAAAGACTGCAGTGGCTGGAGCCTGAGTGTCTGGTTCTGGGTTGGGAAGAATAGAGCCTGGGACTGGCAGTAGGAGTGGAGAGGGTGGCACCAAGACCTGAAAATGGGGCAAGGGTGGGGGCCGGGGCAAGCTCTGAGCTGGCAGGGAGCCAGGAAGGTCACAGGATCAGGGCAAGAACTCAGTTGTCTCTGAGGCCCTGGAGAGGGTGCAGACCTCTGAACCACCTGTCCTACCTTAAGGCAGGTGTGTTAATGCCCCTCCCTGGAGCAAAGGGCTGACCAGGCCTACGGCAGAAAGGTGAAGGTAGACAGACAGCCTCCTTCCTGCTGCCAGTTGGGACCTGGGCCAGGCAGATGGGTACACTCTCCCCTCCCCACTCCATGGCTGTTCCAGCCTCAGCAGCCAGTTTGAAGGATTCCCAGGGGGTAGCCACCTTGCTTCGGCCTCTTCCAGGCTGGGAAGTGGGAGCCTGTGCCTTTAAATTCTCAGCAGGTTGAAATGGCTGATGACATCACTGGTTCCCGGGAGCGGTAGAGCTGGAGCCGGAGCCAAGGGAGTCCAGGCTGCCGGGGGCTGCAGACATGGAGGGCCAGAGCAGCAGGGGCAGCAGGAGGCCAGGGACCCGGGCTGGCCTGGGTTCCCTGCCCATGCCCCAGGGTGTTGCCCAAACTGGGGCACCCTCCAAGGTAAGACCCCTGAGACCCAGTGCCCCCCGCTTTCCTGATCCCTGGTTCCACACACCCCCCCCACATACACTGCAGGCTCCCTGGTGCTCCTGACTGAGGGGCTGGTACTTTCCTCTGCTCAGCGAGCAGGGGCTAGGTGAAGAGAGCACCCTGGGGGCTGAGGGGCAGTGACAGGATGCCCGGAGACAGATGAAGTTAGCCATCTCCAGGAGCCCTTGGGAGAGTCCTGGACTGGGTATCAGAGGACCCAGCTGTGCTCCACCTTTGCTGTGTGACCTTGGCCAAGTTGCTTTTCCTCTCTGAGCCAATGCAAAATGAGGGGGCTTGTCGCTGAAGACTAAAACTGTGACATCTGGGATGGCTAAGTTGTTAGTACTGGAGGCGGTGTGATAGTTGGGGGGAAGCCGGCACACAGTGTGACACTTGGAGCCAAGGAGGGTGCCTAAAATGCCACCTCAAAGAACTGAGTTTGAGAAGGGAGGTGGAGATGGAGTTTTAGGTACTCTGAACTGAGAAGGATACGGGACAGAAACAGAAGTGCGTCTCCAGAGGCAGGGCCTCCCTGCGCCCTGTTACCCTACCTAGGGCCATCCTGGGGCAAGTATAGACATTCTTCTGCCCTCCTTGGTGAAGGACACTTTATCCTGTCTTCTGGAGACAGGGGACATCAGAGAGAATAGATGGGGAAGGAGGATAGGTCTCTACAGGACTCCGTGACTCCCCACCCCTCCCACCTGCCGGACATAAATGGGATACCTGCTTGCCTGTCCTTTCAGGTAGGGGAGAAAGTGGAGGATGTAAGAGGGCACAACCTGGGCACAGAGAGATGTGACACCAGGATCAACTTAGAATCCTGGACTTGCTCTGAATGCTAGATTCACACTTGGTGAGGATGGACTATTCAACGGGGCTAGATGGAATTCTAGCAAATGTTGGGCTCATAAATGCAGACAATGGGAGATGAAGATTCCCCAGAATATAATGTGGCCAGGAACCCTAGACCCCATCCCTTCATTTTACAGACAGAGAAACTGAGGCGCTGGGCAGAGAGGTACTTGCCTAAGGTCACACAGAGCTGGGCTTTGAATCTACACAGCCAGTCTCAGCTCCCAGCTCTTGCTCCTGAGTGGAGCTCTGGGAATGGGTAAGAGAACAGAGAGGGCTGTAACCAAGGGATTTGGATGTTTAGGGGGCGGTGGGGAACTGAGGGTTTCTGGGCATTATGAAGGAAGGGAGAGGTATTTAACAAGCTGCACCTGTAGGTCTGTATCTTGACAATAGAAAAAGAAAAGAAACAGGCTGTCCCCAGTGTGCCCAGACCTGGGATGTCAGGTCAGTAGCCGTGGCTGGGGGAGCTTCAGGGACTGCAGTGGGAGGGTTGCCCAGGGAAGCTGCCCCGAATGGGCAGGGTGTGGGTGCCAGCCAGGAAGGCAAGGCAAGTCCTCAGGTTTAGGTTCACACTCTGCCTCATTTGAGTCAGGGTCTGAGTTTCCCCATCTGTGAAAGAGGTTTCAGACTTAAAGGAGGGGTTAGGGTTTTGTGTCCTATCTCCTCCAAGACAGAAGTTGACCTGCAGCAGAATAGATTGAAGTGAGATAGTAGGAAGAACTTCCTTGGAAAGATGTGCCTTTCTTAGCTAGATGAACTCTGCCAGGGTCTATATGGAAGTTGGGGCCCAATGCCCTGGTTAGGGTCACTCTGAATCTTTGACTTGTCCTCCACAAGGTGGACTCAAGTTTTCAGCTCCCAGCAAAGAAGAACGCAGCCCTAGGACCCTCGGAACCAAGGTTGGCTCTGGCACCTGTAGGGCCACGGGCAGCTATGTCAGCTTCCTCGGAAGGACCGAGGCTGGCTCTGGCATCTCCCCGACCAATCCTGGCTCCACTGTGTACCCCTGAAGGGCAGAAAACAGCTACTGCCCACCGCAGCTCCAGCCTGGCCCCAACATCTGTGGGCCAGCTGGTGATGTCTGCCTCAGCTGGACCAAAGCCTCCCCCAGCGACCACAGGCTCAGTTCTGGCTCCGACGTCCCTGGGGCTGGTGATGCCTGCCTCAGCAGGGCCAAGATCTCCCCCAGTCACCCTGGGGCCCAATCTGGCCCCAACCTCCAGAGACCAGAAGCAGGAGCCACCTGCCTCCGTGGGACCCAAGCCAACACTGGCAGCCTCTGGCCTGAGCCTGGCCCTGGCTTCTGAGGAGCAGCCCCCAGAACTCCCCTCCACCCCTTCCCCGGTGCCCAGTCCAGTTCTGTCTCCAACTCAGGAACAGGCCCTGGCTCCAGCATCCACGGCATCAGGCGCAGCCTCTGTGGGACAGACATCAGCTAGAAAGAGGGATGCCCCAGCCCCTAGACCTCTCCCTGCTTCTGAGGGGCATCTCCAGCCTCCAGCTCAGACATCTGGTCCTACAGGCTCCCCACCCTGCATCCAAACCTCCCCAGACCCTCGGCTCTCCCCCTCCTTCCGAGCCCGGCCTGAGGCCCTCCACAGCAGCCCTGAGGATCCTGTTTTGCCACGGCCACCCCAGACCTTGCCCTTGGATGTGGGCCAGGGTCCTTCAGAGCCTGGCACTCACTCCCCTGGACTTCTGTCCCCCACCTTCCGGCCTGGGGCCCCCTCAGGCCAGACTGTGCCCCCACCTCTGCCCAAGCCACCCCGATCACCCAGCCGTTCCCCAAGCCACTCCCCGAATCGCTCTCCCTGTGTTCCCCCAGCCCCTGACATGGCCCTCCCAAGGCTTGGCACACAGAGTACAGGGCCTGGCAGGTGCCTGAGCCCCAACCTTCAGGCCCAAGAAGCCCCAGCCCCAGTCACCACCTCCTCTTCTACATCCACCCTGTCATCCTCCCCTTGGTCAGCTCAGCCTACCTGGAAGAGCGACCCCGGCTTCCGGTGAGGGGGCCCTCTCCCAAGAAAGGTGGCTGGGGCTTAGCTCTGAGGTTAGCCATTCTTCCAGGGTGGATGGTGTGCTCTACCTCAGCTTCTCTCTCTGAGGAAGAGTCTTTGGGGAGGGGGTTGCTGGGCCCACTCTGTGACGCTCAGAAGATAGCATCCCCTCCTAAGGAACTTGCCGCCTCTCAGTTGATCTCCCCAGGGAGAGTGTGGCAGAGGGACAGGATTCGGGGCCTCCTGTGGGTCCTTCTTAGGGCTTTGGCCCACACCTGCCTCCATTTAGTTCCCCAGGGAGTCCTGTGAAAGGAAGCTTGAGGGTGAGGGAGTGGTGCCAGGACTACACCCTCATATGCCCCTGCCCTCAGGATCACTGTGGTCACATGGAACGTGGGCACTGCCATGCCCCCAGACGATGTCACATCCCTCCTCCACCTGGGCGGTGGTGACGACAGCGACGGCGCAGACATGATCGCCATAGGGTGAGGTGGCAGGGCATGTGGACCCCCTCCTGAGCCCCTCGGGCCTTCCGGGCCCTCCACCCATGGCAGGGGCTTCCAGGGCACCTCTCCAATCCCATGGCCACCCTGCCCCCACCCCTCCAGGTTGCAGGAAGTGAACTCCATGCTCAACAAGCGACTCAAGGACGCCCTCTTCACGGACCAGTGGAGTGAGCTGTTCATGGATGCGCTAGGGCCCTTCAACTTCGTGCTGGTAACGCACCCCTCACCCCCTGGACAGCCAGAGACCCTGCTGAATTCCTGGCTCCAGCTGTACCCTGGCTCACTGTGGGGCCCGCTGGGCCTCTGTGGCTGGGTCCGTGACATGGGTGGGTGGAGGAGCAGACCTGAAGGTGGGCGCGAGGGCGGGGGAGTTGTGTTCTGTCCCCCAGCCACGTGGCCTCCCGCTGCAGGTGAGTTCGGTGAGGATGCAGGGTGTCATCCTGCTGCTGTTCGCCAAGTACTACCACCTGCCCTTCCTGCGAGACGTGCAGACCGACTGCACGCGCACTGGCCTGGGCGGCTACTGGGTGAGCCTGTGAGCAGGCCCAGAAGAGGATGGGACATGAAGGGGGCTTTAGATTAGTCCCCCCGCCCCATGCACAGCAAGGTCCCCTTCCCATCCTCCACCCTTTACCCTGCGGCCCAGCCCCCCCATGCACCACCCAATACCCCATCCTATTCCTCTATACCCCCGCCCTTTTCTCTCCCCACTGTGTCCCAGCGTTGTTCCTCATTTCTGTAGGACCCACCCACCTTCCACCCACATCTCCTCTCTAACCCCCGCTCCCAGTGCCTCACCTCCTGGCCTAAGCCCCGCCCATGAGCCATCCGACCCTGCCTCCCTAGGGTAACAAGGGTGGCGTGAGCGTGCGCCTGGCGGCCTTCGGGCACATGCTCTGCTTCCTGAACTGCCACTTGCCTGCGCATATGGACAAGGCGGAGCAGCGCAAAGACAACTTCCAGACCATCCTCAGCCTCCAGCAGTTCCAAGGGCCGGGCGCACAGGGCATCCTGGATCATGAGTATGGGCTGGGGTGGGGCCAAATAGAGCTTGGGTGGGGCTAGTGATGGGGGTTTTTGTACCACCTTGGGTGGGGCTTATGGAGAGAGGCAGGGCCTATGGGGTTTAGTGCCCACCCAAACTAGTTGTAGGAACACGAAAGCAGAGAGCAGTTGGATGGGGAGGGGCGGAGCTTGTAGGGTGGAGCTTTGCTGAGGGGCCCCGCCTTGCTGAAGGTCAGAACCTAATTTCCTGTAGACCGGTCCCTCTGCTTTTCCTCTGCCCTTTGGTGGGCTGGAGGCTCTGGCACCACTCACCCACTCACTACATCCCCTCGGGTTGGATGGGCTGGAAGGATCTGGGCTGAGCCCTTATCCTCCATGGACCTGTTGACACCCCCCACTGCCCCCCACATCTCTCCCATCCCCCACCCCAAACAGCCTCGTGTTCTGGTTCGGGGACCTGAACTTCCGCATTGAGAGCTATGACCTGCACTTTGTCAAGTTTGCCATCGACAGTGACCAGCTCCATCAGCTCTGGGAGAAGGACCAGGTGGGGTCCTTGTCCCCAGAAGCACACAGAGCATGTCCCAGGACACGCCTGTACCTTAGACTATGGTCCCTGTCCTCACCTGCCCCACCCCCTCCCTGGGCACAGCAGAGCCCAAGCTGTTGTCCAATCTGCTCTCCTGGACCCCCCACAGCTCAACATGGCCAAGAACACCTGGCCCATTCTGAAGGGCTTTCAGGAGGGGCCCCTCAACTTCGCTCCCACCTTCAAGTTTGATGTGGGTACCAACAAATACGATACCAGGTGAGCTCAGTCCGAGGAGGGACTGAGGGGAAGTGGGCTGAGGTCTTCTCGAACAGGGAGACTTTGGGAAGAGGGGCAGGAGGCAAGGTGGAGGGTTACATCTTGATCCCCAGCCCCTGAAACTTGGGGTACCCCTGCTCACTGCAGTGCCAAGAAACGGAAGCCAGCTTGGACAGACCGTATCCTATGGAAGGTCAAGGCTCCAGGTGGGGGTCCCAGCCCCTCAGGACGGAAGAGCCACCGACTCCAGGTGACGCAGCACAGCTACCGCAGCCACATGGAATACACAGTCAGCGACCACAAGCCTGTGGCTGCCCAGTTCCTCCTGCAGGTGAGTTCTGGCCTCATCCTCCCCGCATGAAATCCCCAGGCCCAACTCGGCATACCACTGCCCCTCACCATTACCCTTTGTATAACCCCTTGTACCTGCCCTCAGCAGCATCCATTTGTTGTAACAGTGGAAATGGGGTTGCAATCTACATTTTCAGATGAGGAAGCTGAGGCTCAGACACATGGCATCACCTGCCCAGGGTCACCCAACTAGTAAGAGGAACAGTTAGGATTTGAACCCAAGTGAGTCTGGTTTCAGAGCCCATGCCTTTTCTTTTTTTTTTTTTTTTTTTTTTTGAGACAGAGTCTCATTCTGTCACCCAGGCTGGAGTGCAGTGGCACGATCTTAGCTCACTGCAAGCTCCGCCTCCCGGGTTCAAGTGATTCTCCTGCCTCAGCCTCCTGAGTAGCTGGGATTACATCACCCGCCACCACGCCAGGCTAATTTTTGTATTTTTAGTGGAGACAGGGTTTCACCATGTTGGCCAGGCTGGTCTTGAACTCCTGACCTCCTGATCCACCCACCTTGGCCTCCCAAAGTGCTGGGATTACAGGCGTGAGCTACCGTGTCTGGCCAACTTTTTTTTTTTTTTTTTTTTTCTTTGAGACGGAGTCTTGCTCAGCCGCCCCAGGCTGGAGTGCAGTGGCACAATCTTGGCTCACTGCAACCACCATCTCCTGGGTCCAAGCGATTCTCCCGTCTCAGCCTCCCAAGTAGCTGGGATTACAGGCACCCGCCGTCATGCCCGGCTAATTTTTGTATTTTAGTAGAGACAGGGTTTCACCGTGTTGGCCAGGCTGGTCTTGAACTGCTGACCTCAGGTGATCCACCCACCTCAGCCTCCCAAAGTGCTAAGATTACAGGCATGAGCCACTGTGCCCGGCGCCCTTTTTTTTTTTTTTTTTTTTTAATGCAGTCTCACTCTGTTGCCCAGGCTGGAGTGCAGTGGCGTGGTCTCGGCTCACTGCAACCTCTACCTCCTGGGTTCAAGTGATTCTCCTGCCTCAGCCTCCTGAGTAACTGGGATTACAGCTGCCCGCCACCACGCCTGGCTAATTTTTGTATTTAGTAGAGATGGGGTTTTGCCATGTTGGCCAGGCTGGTCTCGAACTCCTGACCTCCGGTGATCTGCCCACCTCGGCCTCCCAAAGTGCTGGGATTACAAGGTGTGAGCCACCACACCCAGCCTTAGAGCCCGTGCCTTTTCTGCTAATCTCTAACTCCTGTCTTCTGAGAAAGGTTTAGAGTAATTTATCTTAAAATTCATTTATAGGCTGGCGCAGTGGCTCACACCTGTAATCTCAACACTTTGAGAGGCTGAGGTGGAAGGATCACTTCAGCTCAGGAGTTTAAGACCGGCCTGAGCAACACAGTGAGACACTGTCTTTAAAAAAAATCAAAAAAAGGCCGAGCGCAGTGGCTCACGCCTGTAATCCCAGCACTTTGGGAGGCTGATGTGGGCGGATCACATGAGGCCAGGAGTTTGAGACCAGCCTGGCCAACATGGCGAAACCCATCTCTACTAAAAATACAAAAATTAGCCTGGCGCAGTGGTGCATGCCTGTAATCCCAGTTGCTTGGGAGGCTGAGGCACAAGAATCACTTGAACCTGGGAGGCAGAGGTTGCAGTGAGCCAGTATCGTGCCACTGCACTCCAGCCTGGGTGACATGAGCAAGACTGTGTCTCAGGGAAAAAATAAAAATAAAAATAAAATTTAGCTAGGTGGTGCACACCTGTATTCCCAGCTATTTATGAGGCTGAGGTGGGAAGATCACTGGAGCTTGGAAGATCTAGTCTGCTGTGAGCTGTGATCGTACCACTGCACTCCAGCCCAGGCAACAGAGCAAGACCTTGTCTCAAAAAAAAAAAAAAATTCACATATGCATCATCATTTTCACTACTAGTGTCTTAAAAATAACAAAGAAAAGATATAAAAATTCACATATATAATAAGACCAGCAAAATCAAACTCCATGTAACATTCATTCATATTCATTCATTCGTTATTTACTGAGTACTTAACTGTCTTACCATATGCCAAGCATTATGAGAGTGTGTAGTGATGGGGAGGGAGAGCAAAGATATAAAAAATACAAAGCTGAACTCTTAAGTAGTTACTATAATTTATATTGTATTTAGGATTGAGGTTCCTGGTTGCCGACATCAAAATGGGAAATCCTAGAATCTCAGAACCAGACCTGTGAGACCAATTTGGCCCACTCCCTTTTTTTCTGTGGCGGGATCTGAGGCTCCTCATGGGGTAGGCACATGCCCCAAACCATACACAGGCTCTGCAGTGGCAGAGCAGGGTAGATCCCATCTTTTCAGCCCTGAAACCCAACTCTGGGCTCTTCAAGTCTCTTGATCTGATAAGAGGGAGCCCAGCAGGCCAGAAAATGTTTTTCCTGGTAACTTTGTCACATGGCCAGTCAGTGGGACATTGGCCAATATCTTTAGCTGGGAATGGAAATATCCCCACGCTTGGCCTGCCATGACCTCTGGCAAAAGTGTTGGGCATGAAGATTTAACCCACAATTAGGGACCTCACCTGAAAAATCACTCCTTTTGACACCCCATCCTGTCCTTCCCACCTCCTCCAGGACTCTGTCCCTTTAAAAACATTTCCCAACCAGGTGCAGTGGCTCACGCCTGTAATCCCAGCACTTTGGGAGGCTGAGGCAGACGGATCACTAGGTCAGGAGTTCGAGACCAGCCTGGCCAACACAGTGAAACCCTCTCTCTACTAAAAATACAAAAATTACCTGGGTGTGGTGGTGCGCACCTGTAGTCCTAGCTACTCGGGAGGCTGAGGTAGAGGAATTGCTTGAACCCGGGAGGCGGAGGTTGCAGTGAGTTGAGATGGCACCACTGCACTCCAGCCTGGGCTACAGAGCGAGACTCTGTCTCAAAAAAAAAAAAAAAATTCCCATTGAGTACCTACTACATGCCAGGCCTGTGTAGTGCACTTTACATATGTCATCCTTTTGAATGCCTCAGTAGGCCCTGAGATGTCCCAGTTTTCCTCTCTGTTTTACTGGTGAGGGAAACTGAGGCTCAGAGAACTTAAGTCTCTTAGCCAAGGCAATGCAGTCAGAATAGGGCTCAGTAGGGGTTTTGATGCTGCAAGGCCTTGGAGGGCATTTTCAAAGGTCTACCCTTGCCCGCCCCTGCTGTTAGGAACACAGGAACAGGGAAAGAATGTGCCAGTTACTTCTGGAACAGATTGGCTCGGAAGCTGAGGGAGGGAAACCTGAAACTAGGTAAACAGGGGATCAGACAAAGATCTGGTGTTGGCAACAACTCAGTCCTTCCCTGAGGGACAGAGGTGGGGTCAATATCCTGGCAGCCTGCCACCTCAGCAGCTCCACCCATTCAGGTGGCGCCCCTGGTGGGTCTGGGTTGACCTTGGGGAAAGGATACTCGTGGTTATAACTTTCCTTCATGGACTGATGACAAGGTAATAGTTAGTAACCGCTTAGTACTTAGACTCAGTTGGAGAAACTGAACCTTGGGATGGTTAGAGCCTGCCCTGGGGTAACATAGCGAGTTAGCAGTAGAGCCTGGAAGTGGACTGAGGTCTCCATCCTCCCACGCAGAGCTCTTCTTGCCTGCTCAGGAATATTCAGCTTACCCCAAATACCCAGTGCATCATAGGATTTTATTGGTCTTCCTTGCTAGCATAGAGACAAATCATTTATTGAGCACTTACTGGTATACTGGGAAATTTATGGGATGCTTTGCAAATGGTGTCTCACTGAATCTGCTGAACAACTCCAAGAGTAAAATAAGAGTCTCTGAGTTTGGCCGGGCACGGTGGCTCATGCCTATAATCCCAGCACTTTGGGAGGCTGAGGTGGGTGGATCATTTGAGGTCAGGAGTTCAAGAACAGCCTGGCCAACATGGTGAAACGCTGCCTCTACTAAAAATACAAAAATTAGCCAGGCGTGATGGCGGTACCTGTGGTCTCAGCTACTGGGGAGGCTGAGACAGGAGAATCACTTGAACCCGGGAGGTGGAGGTTGCAGTGAGCCGAGATTGCACCACTGCACTCCAGCCTGGGTGACAGAGCGAGACTCCATCTCAGAAAAAGAAAAAAAAAAAAAAGAGTCTCTGAGTTTACAGATGAGGGCCCTGGCATTCAGAGAGGCTGAGGAACTCACCCAGCCTGTCAACGGCAGAACCAGAGCCAAATCCAGGATTTGCTAGCTTCAAAGCTATGTTCTCACTCACTCCCTAAGGAGGCTGTGGGCAGAAGGAACCCTGGGCTGGGAGGCAGCACAGGGCTTGGTATTTATACTAGACCTGTTCTGCCTCAGTTTCCCAGTCTGTAAAGTGGCCCTTTGTCTCAGGCAATTTGTGCTAAGACCCAAGAGCCTTAAGTGTGTGGGATACTAGAGGGTCTCCCCTGATGTGGCCCCCTGCCCCTGCCTTGCCTGGACAGTTTGCCTTCAGGGACGACATGCCACTGGTGCGGCTGGAGGTGGCAGATGAGTGGGTGCGGCCCGAGCAGGCGGTGGTGAGGTACCGCATGGAAACAGTGTTCGCCCGCAGCTCCTGGGACTGGATCGGCTTATACCGGGTGAGAGGGGCAGTGGTGGTCAGCGACTCAGGGAAGAAAGGGGCCTGGAGGAGCAGCTGAACAGCATGGTGGGGTCACTGGCTTGTCCAGATCTTGATGCCACACTGGGAGACTGCTGGGATCAGACATTATAGGGTCACAACACTGATTCCACAACACTGATCCCCCAGGTGGGTTTCCGCCATTGCAAGGACTATGTGGCTTATGTCTGGGCCAAACATGAAGATGTGGATGGGAATACCTACCAGGTACTTAAAAGGAGTGGGAGAGTCAGGGCAAGTCCTTGTTGCCTTTGGGACCTCAGAACTCACCTTGGGGGCTCTCAGGTGGCCTCCCTGACCCCCAACTTAGGCTTATACCCCTGGGCCTACCAGGTAACATTCAGTGAGGAATCACTGCCCAAGGGCCATGGAGACTTCATCCTGGGCTACTATAGTCACAACCACAGCATCCTCATCGGCATCACTGAACCCTTCCAGGTAAGTAGGCCAGACTGCTGGGCTGGGGGTGCCTAAAGACTTTTGTCAAATGCCACAGCCTCTACATTCTGCTCCTTGAGTTCAGACAAATA